>NC_000004.12:88769865-88921381 GCF_000001405.40 Homo sapiens
CCTGGTACATTTAATGAATATTATTATTAATATAATTAATGAATTGTTGATGTTATTGTTTCTGAAGCTATAATATCTCCAAGGGAAATATTTTATTGTTATTTGTTATAATATCTCCAAGATATTTGTTATAATATCTCCAAGGAAAATATTTTACTGTTACTTGTTCACAGTTAAGACACTGTCCCAAAAACAGGAAATACAGTGTTTGTGTCTGCCATTAGAATACTAGAATACTAAGCATTAATTTACACACTTAGATAATTTTAGAATGGATCTGAGAAATTAAAAATTACAACATTCAATTATATTCATACCTCTAAAGTGTGAGTTAGAAGAGGCCTTTATAAAATGGCTCCCATTAAATCAAGAATAATTGCTCTTATTACCTGAATGTGACTTTCCTGATGAAGAGGGTTGTATCTATGACAAAGAATCTTTGTTCCCATTGGTAATCTTCAACAGATTATCAGACTCTTTAGTGTAAGATCTAGTGCAATAGTATTAGGTTTTCCTAAAGCTCTGAAACATGAATTCCAAAGGAAAGCACAACCCTCTATCTTCAGATCACTTCACAACAGTGTCAATGAAATGATACATTCATAGTTACGTGTAAATGACGATTTCCAAAGAACTAAACATTTTCAGATCAAGGCTAAGAAATATTCAGATCCTTCCTGTAGGAGATAGCTTAAAAGAAAAAAGAAATAAAATAAAAAAGAAATATTCAGGAAGAATAAGAGTGAACAGAAAATAAACCGTAATAGCATTATATAAATTTAGAGATATTTCATTTAGAAGATGTTAGAAGATTGATTTTTTTTTTCCTAAACAGAGGAACCAAAATGTAATTGATACAGGTGTTAGGAACTACAGAATAAAGTTAGTTAGGTCACACAATAGAAAGCTTTGCAAAAAGCAGTTGTGAGATGTGAGAAAGCTTAGCTGATCTCCAGTGTTAAAACAAGTATTAACTTCTTCAACTCCATCCCTACCACTTTTTACATGTTTTATCCATATGTTTAAGAACTCTCCAATGATTTGAGGTTTTGTAGACGTAGTTCACAAAGGCTGATTTCCAATATTGTTCAATATTCTTCTCTAAGGCTTTTTTGTAATTCTAATTGTCATGTTATTTCTGTGCACATTTGAGACTGCTGAATATTCATTGTCTGGTTTCACTAAAACAGCATGCAGGTACACAGTGTTCCTTTCCTAAGGTAGCTGGGTTGCACCTATACCTTTTGGAAATGGAAAATCTGAAGAATGCTACAACCCGGAAAGCATTTTTTTTTTTTTTCAGAATGAAACTAACAAGGGTAGTAAATATCTATGAGTACAGTAACAAAACTATGTATTTCCATGGGCACAATACATTTTGTAAATTCTAATTTGTATTCTTTGTCTTGGGGTTAGGGAGGAATGATTAAGATAAAGAAATAGATCAGTAATCTCTCTACTTCACTAAGATGAGGGAAGGGAAAAGTGTAATGTACAGGTCAAAATAATGCTGAAATGCAGAATGCTTTTCAGAAGTATGCCATTAGACCTTCAAATGTGCTGTAGGTGCTAATAGTACTTGTCTAACAAGAAAATATTGAGTCATTGTCTTTTGAAGGTTTTAAACTGTTTTATGTCCCAAACACATCCCTACCAGGCGTAGTAAGAGTAGTCCATTAATGTTTTCATTGATTAGAGGTTGAAGTAATAGAATATTGTGGAAGTGTTTTATTGCATTAACTTTTATTTTAATTCCTCTTCTAAATTTGGGATCTTTTAAAGGTAATAGGTAATTTTTAAAAAGCAGCAAAGAAGAAGATTGTGACTTTAGGTCTAATTTAATAAAGTTGCTTCTTGTATTGCAATTATTTCCAACCAGATAAAGCCTAGTTTATAATCCATAAAATTTTGACTCATATAAGTCCTATCAATGACTTTCAAAACACAGATTCACTACAACATAATTTATTTTGATAATTTTGGGGTGTCAGAGGAACTAAATTTTAAAAACCATTCTCCTTAATTATAAAGATAAACTCAAGTCTAAAAGAGCAAAAGCCTTGATAAAAGTTCATTTTAGATTGTGGAATTTGTTTTTGATTATTTTTCTTTCTCCCTCTCCGTGTTGGCATTGAAAGCTAGGCTCAAAACCTGTTTGACCACTGACTGAAGCACTTAAAAACCCTTGGAACAAAAACAAATTCATCTTCTAAAACTGTAAAATGCTGACAAAACCTTAATAGAGGACACACACAAAAATGCCTCTCTCAATATACAAACAGCTCAATCTGAAGGCTACAGGAATGCTGTTAGTCAAAACAGGTTCATTATTCTAACCTTGAGCTCTAAGAGGAGAATATTTGATAGAGTCTCGTTAAGAAAGGATTAATGGCATATTTGAATTCCTTTTTGTACCCTTTTGTACATTTTATGTTTTATTGCTTAAAATTGTATAAGCGCATTCATATTCAAAAAGAACTACTGGTATCATAAAAGATGCCTAAGAAAGAGTTTGCTAGCTGTCCACCCAAACCCATGCTACACTTTTTCCACCGTAATAAAGTAGCTAGATGTCCAGCAACAATACATTTCCCAGCCTCTCTCGTGATCTGGTACAACCATGTAACTAACTGTTCTCCAATGGGATGCGAGAAGTGATATATGTGGCTTCCAGACCTGGCCAATACAATGCTTCACCAGGTACAGACACTTCTCAACTTACCATGGAGGTTATATCCCAATAAACCCATGGTAATTAGAAAATATCATAAGCCAAAAATGCATTTAGTACACTTAACCTACTGAACAGCATAGCTTAGCCTAGCCTAAACATGGTCAGAACACTTACATTAGCTTACAATTGGGTAAAATCATCTAACAGAAAGCCCATTTTATAACAAAAGTGTTGAATATCTCATGTAATTTACTGAATACTATACTTACTGAAAGTAAAAAATCAGATGGTTGTATGGATACTCAAAGTACAGCTTCTAGTGAATATGTATAGCCTTCTTTCCTTACTCAATAGTACACAAAAGAAAGGAATCCTAGATGTGTGTATAAACATGAGGAGACTGATATAAGTTAGAAGAGTATTCACTTTTCATAGATGAAAGGTAGGCTGTGGTTAGAACACAAAGATGGACCTTTGGTGTTATGCAAAGGAGGCAGTGGGGGAAAGCTGTTGGAGTTCTTGATGAGATGGTCTTTACATCAAAGTGATTTATGATCACACCACTCCACTTGTCCATTATGTTCCATCCCCTATCACTGACTCAAGAACATTGCTCCTGCAATGGATTCTCTTGCATCGTCATCTTCTCCTCTCTATTGGCTTGTCTTACACAAATATTCTGTAACATCACTGCCTTCTAAAAACTGTCTTCATCTTGTATTCTCTCCAACTGCTACCTCGTTTTTCTTCCCCCTTGTAGGGCAAAACCTGTTCAAAGACCTTCCATACTGGTAGTATCCAACTCATTTCCTCTTAGGTTTTCTTGAACCCACTTAATCAGGCTCTTCCTGCCTCTTCCCACCAATAGAGCTCCCATCAAGGTAGCTGTGGGTTAGCTAGATATATGTGAAGTTATCACTCACTCCCTATTGCAATTTCTTTATTCTAATTTTCTCTGGACCTAAATCTAATGAGGCTCTTGCCTCCATGTTGCACTGGAGATCGGCAGCAGCTCCTTCTTAGTCCCTTGTGGTGCTCCCTTCTCATCTGCTTACCCCCTAAATGCTGGTAGGTCTCAGGGCTTAGTCCTTGGACCCTTTCTTTTTACCCTTTGTACTCAGTCCTTTGGTGTCAGCTTATCCACTCTCAAGGCTTTAAAAACCAACTGTGCACCAAAGACTTCCAAAATTATTTATTTCATCTCTCCCTTGACCTCCAGATTAATATATCTAACTGCCTACTTGAATTCTTTACTAGATTCTGTCAATTATTTTACTTTAGTCCTTATCCATTTCTCATCACCCCATGCACTATACTTAACACAGCTGCCAGAGTGATCCTTTCATAAGGTATATCACAAAATGGCTTCCTTCCCCTCTCAATCCTCTGTGGCTCCTTATCCTACTTAAGGTAACTGCTAAAGTCCTAAAAATGGCTATGAAGCTTTAGGTGATCAGGACCTCTGCTACATCTTTGACCTCATCTCCTACAATGCTCCTCTCAACTCTGTTCTAACCATGGCCACCTCTTGCCTGTCCTCAAAGGCTCAGCATGCTGCTCCCTCTGCCTGGATTTTCTGTCTCCAGATATCCTGATGGCTCATTCCCTCACCTCCTTCAGGCCTCTGTGCAAGCATCATTTTCAGTGAGGCCTGACTTGAATGTCCTCTACGATATCGATCCTTTACCTCTTACCACTTTCCATCCTCTTTACCCTGCCTTATTTCTCTCCACAGCATGTATTGCCATCTAACTAGATATTTCTTTCTTATCTATCTCATTTTATGAGACTGTAAACTTCAGGAAGGCAGAGTGTGTGTCTGTTTTGATCACATTGTGTCCTTAGTGTTGAAAATAGTGCTTGTCATATAGTTAGTTGTTGTGTGATTGAAGGAATAAATAATTTTAAGTCAGTGGTTCACATTGTTGGGCTTTTTTACATTATATTTGATACCACCCAGAAAATCATGGTCATGTGGTTTTTTAACAGGAGTTCTTGCTGAGTTGTGTTACACTGAAAACAATGTTTCAGTTCTTGCTGAGTTGTGTTACACTGAAAACAATTGTTTTGTAGCAGCAGACATGTTCTGGAGAGGAAAGTGAGTAGAAGCTTGGAGACATGTTGGCTGGCTGTTTCAATATTCCAGACTAATTACAATAAGAGCCTCAACTATGTAATGGCAACGCAAAAAGGGAAAGGAGATGCACGTAATATTTTTTTAAAAAGCAGAATCAACTAAATTTGACACATGATTGAAATGTTGAAGGAAGGATGGAGGTGAAGAAAAGGAAAGGACTTGGAAAATGACTAAGGAGACGATGATGTGATTGAATCAGATGGGACTCTTGAATGAAAAAGATTGAGGAGAAGATGATGAGTTTGGTTTCAACATGTTGACTTTAAAGTATTCTCTGGGGTGAACTGCAGACAGAATCCATCAAATGTTAATTTCTAAGTCATTTGTAGAGGGGTGACAACTGAAACCATGGAACTGGAAAAGCTCTGAAAGTTCAGATAGAGAAGAGATATGAGACAAAAATCTAGATAACATTTAAATCCAAGCATGATTTATGGGAGCTTAGCCAGGGAAGGATACAACAAAGAAGAAAACAGTCATTGTGGTATGAGGACAAGGAGAGGTCAACATCATTCAGACCAAGGGAGAAAGGGTTCAGACAAAGAGCCACAAAGTATCAAACACCCCAAGGCCTTGAGGAGGCCAAGAACTAGATGAAGTCATAGCACAGGGACCAGTCATAGCACAAAAGACCAGTAGAGACATTAAGAAAGGTTCTGTAGAGAATGGGGTTGGAGTTCGGGTTGGGGTTGGGGATGGAATCTAGACTATAGGGAAATGATGTATAAATATGAAAAGAAGAATGGGGTCTGGGCATGGCACGTCACTCCTGTAATCCCAGCACTGGGAGGCTGAGGTGGGAGGATCATTTGAGGCCAGAAGTGTGAGACCAGCCTGGCCTCACACTTCTGAAACTCTGTCTCTACAAAAAATTTTAAAAATTAGCTGGGTGTGGTGGCACATGCCTATGGTCCCGGCTACTTGGGAGGCTGGGGCAGAAGGATCCCTTAAGCCCAGGAGTTGGATGTTGCAGTGAGCTTTGATCATGCCACTGTACTCCAGGCTGGATGACAGAGTTAGACTCTGCCTCTTAAAAAAAAATAGAACTGAAACTAACAAGTACAGACTGTTCAACATGTGTGATGGTAAAATGAAGAAAAGAGATTGGCCATCAGAGCAGAGGGAGCAGAAACGTATTTACTGTGTTCAGTTTTACCTATTCTTTAGCACATTTAGTTGCATTGAAATCTCACAAAAAAACACAATCTCACAAAAAACTGCTATTTTACAGATGAAGTAAAAGGCTAAGTAACGTGCTTTACTTGCCATAGCTATGAAGTGAGATAGTTGGAACTGAAATTCAGGTATGATTACAAGACCTATTCTCCTTTCTTGAACCTTGACTGAGATTTCATGTACACATGAAACTAAAAGGAAGTTGTTCGTAGATAAGAGACCTATAGACTTTGTTTTTATTTTTATATATTAAATGTAATATTATAGAATTCATATAATCACACAGAACATATTTGGAGAGAAGAGAAACAATTACCTCTAATACTACTGCCACCACCATAATGCAATCACACAATCACTTTTAGCTATATATCCTTTTAGCCTTTCTTCCTAGGAATGAATATATCATACATACATATGCATGCACTGTAGATATTGCTTCATAACCTATTTTTATATTGAAGGGCGGTACAGTGGAATCCCAGCTCCACCACTTACGTGTGACCTAGTTGTTTAATCTCCTATGCCTAATTGTCCTCATGATTAGAATGGGAATAATAATATCTACCTATGGATTATTGGGAGGATTAAAATTGAGAATATATGAAAAGCACTTAAAATATAACTTGTCAAATATTTTCTATTTTATTATATAATCTTCATAACTATAATTTTGAATCATTGCAAAATATTTTATTGAGTTGACATACAAATGTTAATCATCTGCTCTTCTACTTCTGAACATTTAAATTGCTTCTAATTCTCCATGATTATAAATAGCCTTGTGGTGAGCAAATTAATATATATGGTTTTTTTGATATTTAAGATTATGCACCTAGTGGCCGAGTGTGGTGGCTCATGCCTGTAATCCCAGCACTTTGAGAAGCCGAGGGGGGCAGATCAGTTGAGGTCAGGAGTTCAGGACCAGCCCGGCCAACATGGTGAAACCCCATCTCCACTAAAATACAAAAATTAGCTGGGCACAGTGGTGTGCGCCTGTAAACCCAGCTACTCAGGAGGCTGAGGCAGGAGAATCACTTGAACCCGGGAGGGGGAGGTTGCAGTGAGCTGAGATCATGTCACTGCACTCCAGCTGGGCAATAAGAGTGAAACTCCATCTCAAACAAACAAACAAACAAACAAACAAAAAGGATTATGCACCTAGAACAGAGTAAGTAGCAGAAGTAGGATTATTGGATAAAATGCATGAATGTGTTGTGATTTTTGACTCAAAGTATTAAACTCTGCCCTAGAGTGGAAGTTTGGAGATGGAGACTTTTTTTCTAGGCCAGTGGAGATGAGCCAATAGAGAGGAAGTGTGCATGTGTAAGTATGTTTTTATGCCGGTGTCAGGTAGGCTGGGAGATGGATGTGAAAAATAGAATTTCCAAAGATACTTTTCACCTTAGAGGTTAGTTTTAGAATTTAGGAAACTTACTTTGTCATTTGAGCAGATAAGAAAATAAAATAGGCAGAGAGCTAGAGAAATGTGGAAGTGAAGTGAGGGAAGTTGAAACAGAAGCGGGTTATTTCAGCTCTTCAAAGTAAAAGAGGAGATAAGGTTTTCTTCTGGGAGAGAAGGAAGGGCACAGGTATGAGCTTGGGGTTTAAGGAAAGGGAAAGGTTGAAATTGTGGCAATAATTCGAGATAAGGCAGTGCAGTCTGATGCCCAGACTGGTACCTCACTGCCCCTGATTTCTGAGCTCTGAATTATCTGTAGTTTCTCAGTCTCTGCTGGTCATGATATCCTCGGGAGGCAAGGGACAGAGGGAGAAAGGAGCCAGATAGTTCCCACTGTAAAGACACCAAATCTGTAAGACACTTTTCCAGATCTACATCATATTCTCCTCTTTGGCTGTGCCGTGGGCCAGCAAGATCACTGTGAAGCCATTTACTCACTGTCTTCAGTTACTCTCCTACCATCTTCTCCTGAAAATGGCTCTTGCTCCCATCTTTCTACCAACCCTATTCTTACTAAGATCACCAGGGAGCGACATTTTGCTAATTTCAATGGTTGAACTCGCAGTCTTTTACTTGACCTATCATCTGATTCTCCTTCCTCTTTGAGTCCCTTGGTTACTTGGCTTCTAAGACACCAAACTTACCTCATTTTTCTTCTAGTTTTCTGGCTGCTGCTTCTTAAGTTTCCTCAGCTGGCTTCTTATATCCCCATTCTCTGCCTCAAGGCCTTGTGTGAAGGCCTTTTCTATCCATATTCACTCCCTTGGTTATCTCAGCCAGTGTATTGGCTTTAAATGTCATTTACAATGCTCATGACTCTCACATTTGTATCTCTAAGGAGGGCATTCTCCCGAAACTCTAGGCCCAGAAGCCCAGTTGCCTCTCTAATATCTCTTCTCTTAGATGTCTAATGGGCAGCTCAGTCTTTCCATGTCAGAAACTGAACTTAGGATATGACTCCCAAAACGTCTATCTTCCTCATCTCAGTAAATTGGCAAGACCAGTCTCCTGGCTGCTCAGGACAAAAATCTTGGAATCATCTTTGACTCCTCTTTTGCTTTCATACCCCACATTGAATCTGTCAGGTGATTTTGTCAATTCTATCTTCAAAATACATTCACTTTCTTACCCCACCTCTTGACCACTGCAGTGCACAACTCCAGGGGGAACCATTCATGTTTTAGTTGATGGGAACAGTGCTCTCTAGATCAGTGAAGGGTACAGCCCGTGAGTCCATATAGCTGGCTCTTGTATTACCTCAGTTCAAGCCATCATCATCTCAAACCCAGATGACTGTAATGATTCCTAACTGGTCTCTCTGCTTCTGCCCTTGCCTGCTAATTGTCTATTCTCAACAAAGCATCACCAAGTTTAAGTAAGCCAGGTCACTGTTCTACTGAGAACTCAATGGCTTCTCATCTCACCCAGAATAAAGGAGGGGTCCTTACAATGATCTATAAAGACCTATTTAACATGCCCTGCTTTCCATTCCCTCTTTCACTTTGCTCACTCTTTTCCAACCATAATGGTGCCTCTGTGGTTCCTTCAATATTCCAGAAAACAATTGCCTCAGAGCCCTTGCACCTGTGATTCCAACAGTAAGTCTTGCTTCCTTACTTCCTCTAGTTCTTTATACTCAAGTGTCAAATTCTTGGAGAGGTCTCCTCTGATTATTCCATTTAAAACTGCATCCCTTGCCCCCTCACAGGTTCCTGTCCCCATTCCCTGCATATTTTTTTTCTTTCTAGTTGTTATCACTACCTAATATACTTTATTGTTTACTTATTTATCTTGGTTATTGTCTGTTTCCCTGACTAGAATGTAAGCTCCAGGAAGGCAGGAATTGTTACCTGTTTTTCTCACTATTGTATCCACAGGATCTAAACTATTTCCTGCCACACAGATGACATATAATTATGTATAATTTTTTTAAGCTATAGAAACAAATGTTTGGTCAGAATGTAAAGAACTTAAAATGGGCTAGGGAAAGGTTTTGGAGGAAAGTTGGGGAAAGTAGAATTAGAAGGTTAAAAATAAGGGGGAAGTGAAGATACACAACGTAACATTCAGGATGTCGTCTTAATATTAGTCGTCGTTGTGTTCCCTGGCTCTTTGCTTTGTGGTTACTTGCGAAGATTAGATTTTTAAATTCATGGAATATAAGAGTTGGAAAACATCTTTGAGAATACCCTCACTTTACAGATGAGGAAGTTTTTCTTCTAAGTTGTATTGGCAGGGTTTCAAGTTATTCATTGCAACAAAGACACGGTCCACTGAGTTCATATGTGACATGCACAATCCTGGAATGCGGAAACTGGCAATTGAGGTAGGGGCAAATTCTTTCACATAAAAAACCCCAAATGGAATTAGGATCTTCCATCCCAGTGTTTTTCAGCACAGACTATGTCCATAGTTTTATCAGTAAACACATATTCTAAGGAGTAAATGTACTTTTCCACTTCTATTAACTATTACCATCTAACTAACTGAAGACACTATTCCTGGTGGAAAAAATTAATGGGTTAAATGAATGTAAAAAGGGATTCAAACTGAGAAGCCTGCTTCATAGCTTCTTTTCACACTATAAAGCCAAGTCTCAGACTTTCAGTCACCAGATAGCTCTTTGGCAGATCAGCAAATCATGGGCCAATTAGAGAGCTAATGAAGTTAATACCATTTATTTTATTTAAATATTTACTTTTAACAAGAAAAATGAAATCATCAGTGTTAAAAAATAGTGTGTCATGATTCCAAACTTTAAATTCTTTATTTTGAGAATTGTACCAGACATAAGTCTGAGGTAGATTATTATTTCTGTTCACTCTAGCTGATCAGTTTACTTCCAGAAACAATGCATTGAGACATTATGGGGGGAAAAAAATCCTAGATTTGCATTTACCTGTATTTTACTTATGGAAAAATTAGAAATCTTCTCCGAGCACATGCAGAAATTGACAATGAGAAAATAGGTGGCCCATGAATTTTATTGAATGTATGGAAAACACAGCATGGAGCTAAAAACTGGTCAAAGTACGTCAGAGGATTTGCACACTAAACAGTAGGAGAGGATATTGCCTATTTTTATTAGGGATTCCAGTTCACGCCATGTTATAAAATTTATCTTCAGGTTTTTGGGTTTGTTGTTTTCTTTTTTAACTAAAGGGACAGACTTTGTGGCTTATTTTTCAGAGAAACTAATACATTAAGGAAGAAGGATGATGAATGTTAATAGTTATACTGAACAAATATTTAGCCACTGATTAAACCACTTGTAAACACTTATACTATGTATTGAATTAAGGATCCAAGATTCAGGTCTGAGGCAACTACACAGGGATTAATTTCTTTTTGTTTCTGATTAACTTGGAAGAAAATACTTTAAAAGAGTACAGATTTGAAACAAAATTTCTGAACATGAAGAGATTTCTGAACATGAAGATAGCTGATCCTCTTTCACTGTGTATTTCACCTTGCTTTAAGTTCATTCATTAATTTATAAAACATATTCACTCAGACAAGAACAAATAGAATGGGGAAAAAGAAGAAAAAATGCTTTATGGGCAATTTTATTTCAAAAACAAAATTTAAAAATGCTTGAAAAAAAAGAGAAAAAAACAATGGAAATCAGAATGTGTGGTGTCTCTTGTTCCTTTGTAGAATATAATATTTCTCGGCCTTAATTTTTGTATTTATTAAAAAGAAATACAAATATATATACACTTAGTAGCTCTAAGGTCTCTTCCAGCACTCAAAACTGAAAGACTGAAATTACTTTTAATTTTTTTACAAAGCAAAGAAAAGAGATGTAATATTTCCTAACAAGTAAAACTTTATAGACGTATTCACTTACCACAAGACCGTCCTGATTGTCATGAAGCTCAGAAAGTTTAGTACTGGATTTCTGACGTTTAGGCTTGCTCCTTTCTCCAGCACAACCAAAAGTATTTTTGTGTACCTTTTCGACTTCCTGAGTATTCAAAATACAATCATCAAGGTGGTTGAACCCAGAAGGAGTATTTTCTTTGTTGATAAGTCCCCTTGAATTGAGAAAAAAGCTTAATTTTATTTTAAAAGATCAAATGGTCATTGAATGATACTCTAACTACATCATATCATACCTAGGAAATCCAAAGAGTGCCCAGAAATTCCAGTATGCATCTCTGATCAAAATCTGAGCAGAGTGCCACTCCTGGGACTGCTTGGTGCCAAATAAATCACATTGAAAGAGAAATAATTCCTAGAGGCAAATTGGCAAGGGCTGTTTCTACCAATGGACAGCTTTTGTATTTTACCAAAAGTAATTTGTATTCAAAAAGGGAGAACAGTGCAAGTTTATACAGAAATTTCCTATTATTCACAGTAGATGTTTAAATATATATATATTTAAAATTTATAAATTCATACAGTGTATGGAGAAAAATCTAAAAAGGAATTGTATCTTCCATTTTAGTAGTGTAGAAATGTGTATTGAACAATGAGAACACATGGACACAGGAAGGGGAACATCACAGTCCGGAGACTGTTGTGGGGTGGGGGGAGCGGGGAGGGATAGCATTAGGAGATATACCTAATGCTAAATGACGAGTTAATGGGTGCAGCACACCAACATGGCACATGTATACATATGTAACAAACCTGCACATTGTGCACATGTACCCTAAAACTTAAAGTATAATGATAATAAAATAAAAAAAATTAAAAAATTAAAAAAAAAGAAATGTGTATTTCAATCTCATTGAATTATTAATAGATAATCTTAGTAGAAATTATATAAGTTAATAAAAACTATGGAATACAAAGCATTTTAACTGAAATCTGGATTTGTTACTTCCAAGTACAGACCTCTTTCATGACATAGTTGTAGAAGTAGATATGAATGTCATAGAATTTAATTCATTTGATGTTCATAAAACAGTTTTAAGTATTAATATCTTAAGCATTCCTATAATAGGTTTTCACAAGAGTAAATTAGCAAACTGAGTTAAAAAAAAAAAGAAACAATATCATGGAACAAATAAAACCATCAGCACAGCACCATGGCTTGGTAAGGAACAAATAAATGAGACTTTATTCTCCTCCTTCGTGGTATGAGTGAGTTAATGTACCTCCCTAAACACCTAAAACTGCATCTTGAAATAAATGAATTCTAAAGAGTAAAAATACATATCATATTTTACTATTGGCTCAACCATATCCCAAAATGAAAGATAACATTAAATATTTATTCTGAAATCTAAATTCATATCTTTAGACAGGGTATAACAGGCAAAATTATGAATTAAATACTATCATAATATTTTCAAAGTTATACTATCTTTGGTAATTTTTAACACTCCATATTTTAGTCTTTTTTCTACAACTTTAATGTGAAAATATATATTTAGTAAAATTATATAAAAGATTTATGCACATTTATAAGAGATATTCTAAGTACAAAGTAATTGAAGACAGGAGGAGAAGATGATAGGGACTAAATGCAAGCACTTATACTCATGCACATGTTCCTCAATCTCTCCCCTCCACGCACTGAGAGCAGTGCCTTCTGTGGGTGGCTGGATCAATTTGGTGTAATTCTAAAACTCAAAAATTATTTATTTTACTATTTAAATTCTATCTTATCACTCTTCATAGTTTTCCTAGCCTTTTTTTCTGTTTGTTTTTTATTTATTTTTAATTTTGTGTGTACACGGTAGGTGTATATACATAAATTACAGGGTACATGAGATATTTTGATACAGGCATGCAATGCATAATAATTACATTAAGGTAAATGAGGTATCCATTCCATCAGGCACTTATTCTTTGTATTACAAACAATCCAATTACACTCTTTTAGATATTTTTAATGTATAATTAATTTATTTTTTATTCTAATCACCCTGTTGTCCTAACAAATACTAGGTCTTTTGCAAACTATGTTTTCGTATCCATTAACCTAGCTTTTGGGGTATATGTCCACTTATAACTTTTTTTTTCACTTTTATTTTTATTTATTTATTTTTTGAGACAGAGTCTTGCTCTGTCGCCCAGGCTGGAGTACAGTGGTGCGATCTAGGCTCACTGCAAACTCGACCTCCCAGGTTCAAGCAATTCTCCTGCCTCAGCCTCCTGAGTAGCTGGGACTACAGGCATGCGCCACCACACTGGCTAATTTTTGTATTTTTAGTAGAGATGGGGTTTCATCATATTGGCCAGGCTCTTCTCAAACTCCTGCCCGCCTTGGCCTCCCAAAATGCTGGGATTACAGGCATGAGCCACTGCGCCCAGCCCCAATTATAACCTTTAAATGGAGGATCTTTAATGCTTTAAAGCTAGTATGGACGGATTTATGTACCCTCAAAATTCACATTTTGAAGTCCTAACCCCCAATGTGACCATATTTGGAGACAGGGCCTTTAAGGAGGTAAATAAGGTTAAAAGAGTAACAAGGGTGGGACCCTAATCCAATAGGACTAATGTCATTGTAAGAAGAGGGAGAGACATCAGGAGTGTGCACACAGGGGAAGGGGCATGTGCAGACACAGTGAAAAGGTAGCCATCTGCATGCCAGTGTGAGAGGCCTCAACAGAAACGGACACTTCTAGCACCTTGACCTTGAACTTACAGCTTCTAGAACTGTCAGAAGATAAATTTTTGTTGTTTAAGCCACCCAGTCGGTGGTATTTTGTTATGGCAGCCCAAGCAGACTAAAGACGACAGCTAAAAACGATTTTTAAAAATAAGAAAGTAAAGTTTATTTTATGATCATTTTGAATAGTGAATGAATGACTAGAAAAAATCCTGTCAAAATAAATATATGAAAATCTGACCATGCTGTTGTGCTCATGGACAAATCCTGTCTCCTCCGAGGGAAGTCTTTGCTTTTACGTGCATCCACGTGTCTCTTCTACTTCACTTTGTTGAACTCTAATTTCGATTACACTATAGATCCATGAGCCTGGATGCGATATCTGTTTTTCATCATTGAATCACCTTATAGTACTGGGTGCTCAATTATCACTGTTGAAGACTTCAGGGGCACTTTATTTAGATACAGCTCTGTATAAAACACATGGTTGTATTTCTTTAAATCTAATCTTAGATGGAGCAGGTGTACTCAATTCCTTCCTGCAATATTCTGTCAGATTTCAATCACATTTGACATAACTTGGATTTCACTGAACTTAGATCTCTGGACCTCTCACTTTCATTATCTAGATTTATTTCCATATTTTTTTCAGGATTTTCTCCTCACCCCTACATACTTACTTAATGTCCTGGCAATGCTGAACTATTTATTATTCCCCAAATATAGCCTGCTTTTCTTTTACTTTGCAGTAGGATTTTAATATAGTCTTTATATAACAAAGAAACATTTGGATCAATTTTCCAGTTCACTGTGTTTTTAGAAGATTGAAAATCATTTTCACTTAAATGATGCTTTGCTTTTAAAAAATATTTCTTATGATTTTTTTCAAACATATACAGAAGTAGAGACACTATCATAACAGACTTCCATATACCCATTACCAAAATTTCACATTTCTGTAAACTTGGCAGATAGTAGATTTTTTTACTAAATGAATTTAGCTGAATATTTTTACATAATGAAGATTTTATTATTACATAATGAAGATTAATTTGCTACAAAATTGTAGCAAATAGTAATATAGGTCTGATTATATTTCCTTATGAATTTAGACAAATAACAAATCATTTGTACCTATGAATGAAGTTATTTGTAGTCTTTGTCTATCTTCGGTACTGCTATTTCAAAAATGGGCCATGACGACTTTAGTATGACTTTACTGACCCTTCTACTCATCTTGAAACATAGTCATCATTGGCTTCTTCAAGAATATTTTTTAATTTGTTGCATCTCTAAGTTACTAGAGGCAAAATAATAGATAATAATATAAATAGATTTCTATGTTTCTAAACACTTTTTAACCACTTCATAAAGCTTATAGTTTTGAATAGAATATTACAGCCTAGCTTAATTTTTCCTTATTTTTTGAGTAAAGACTTGTGAAAAATCTTAAATGAATCAATTGTATAGAAGCATATACTATGACGAACTCTTGACTGTAGGCTATATTAATGATTCTTGATCTTCTTATAATTTATGACATGTTCATGACTCTCCTGGAGATACTGGAGAAGACCTTTATGGCGGCTCATTGAAAGGAAGGTTAAAACAGAAATCTAAGACCAAAGAGGAGATGCTGAAAGAATCAGCCTGCTGGAAAACTATTTCAAGCAAGCAGATGAGCAAAAGGAAAGAGTGGAGCTGGGAAGAAACAAGCGGAATGAGAGCACTGGATCAAAGAAGGTGAGTGAAAGGATAACAGAACCCAGCATGAAGATAAGGGGAGAGGGGTTGCAGGAAATGACTACTGACCTACGGTCAAAGCTGGGCCAGACAAAATTAGTGGATCTGGGGGTTTTGAGAGATAAGGGTCTCACTCTTCCAAAGACCTGGAGAGCTAAGAGAAGCCGTTCAGTGTGGGCTGGGAGTTGAAGGACTATCAAGACACGATTGTATCATAGTGTGCCAGGTTAGGTACTGTTTGTACCCCAAGATTCTCTCACTCAATGCCCAACTGTGATTTGACCAGGAGGAGTGGTGAAGGGAATAGCAAGAGAAGAACAATTAAGGGAAAGGCTAGGGTTTCATGGGTATAGTCTTCATACCATCACTCAGCTACCATTCCCCATCTCCTTTGGTTCTCCTAATACTGCTAGTAAAAAACAATCAAGATAACTTATGCAAGAAATGTCCCTGGGCTTGGGAAGCTCTCTATTTAAATTCTTCAGGAGAGGTGAGGCTGTGTTTCACATTTCCCTGCCCTGTCTGGCCCCTATCTGTTTCTACCTCCACTGTCCTCCCCCAGACCTGCTGCCAAGCATCCACCAACAGCACCATCACTCTCTGTTCTCTCTCATGCTCCCCACCACTTCCCACCTCCACCTGCTAGCCCTCTGTCCAAACAAAGAGGGTGGAAAGCAGGATATCGTGACACACTGAGGATATTTTTAAAATGCAAAATGTTGCTACATACTCCTCAGCAAAAAATGAGGCAGAGGATAAGAACAGTGTTAAATGAATAATTTGTGCTTTCTCTATAACACATTAGAGGTAGTACACAAACTAATTATACTTCTAAACACTTTCTATAAACATGTCAGTAGCTAATTTTAAATGTAAATATCTCATGTCATGCCACAGGAGAAGAAATGTAAATATCTCCTATATTATACTTTTTCTATTTTCTAAATGGAATATTACAACTATTCTATCCACCAGCTCCATGAAAATTTATTTTAAAAGTACTGCACATGCTACTTGTAAATCAGTGGGTTATATTATTGATACTGCTTTATTTCTAAAATTACATTTGCTAATATAGCTCTTAAACATCTCGGTGAGGTATAGCATGAAACTTATTTATACTGTTTATCTTTTATGTTTTTCTTTAAGCGAAAAAAAGTTTTTTTTCTTTTTCCATAAAGGGTTTAATGTAGATTATGAGTCAAAGTGAAAAAGAATGCGAATGAGGGGTGTGGGACTATTATATATTCATAAAGATTAAAAATTAAGAAAAGAAAGAAAAAGAATGAGGGGTGCTAGGGTCTGGTTCAGGTTAGTTTCTGACATTTAATAAGGAGTCATTATTAAACCATAAAGAGGCTAAAGGCCATAGTCAATAAAAATAACCTTGGAACTTTCAGGGAAAATATATGAATATCTGTATAGTCTATTCTCTATATAAATTTATTTTCCTTGACAATTTAAGTCATGATTATTAAATAATATAAATGGTAATTGTTCATCTGTATTTTATTAAATCTTTTCATGGAGAATAAAGCTCTTTGTAACACTATTCTTAAAATTCATACTATGGGAATGCCTTAAAATTAGTGATTATTATAATAAACAACTTAAGCTTTTCATTTTTTGAGTAGATTTAAGCCCAACCTTTCTTATACTAAAACATAATCAAATGTCAGAGTATTATAGGGATATCTGACTATTTAATCACATAAATATAATGGAGAAATCAGCTGCTCCATAAACAAGTCTAAATAGTCAACTTAATGTTGTCTAGCAAGAAAAAAAATACCTCTGGACAAGCATATGGTAACTTTCTCTGCCCATGGTTCAGAATCCCTCTAAATAAGATATTTATGAGGAAGCCATAGGGTGTATTCAATCAGAGGTGGCTTCTAACAACATACCAAATGTCTGGATGAAACGGAAATATTTATGCAATTACCTATGAATTTCCAAATGTAGCTAAGTTTAGAATGGACAAACTGATAACTCTTAAAGTTTTAACCTAAATACTGAAATGGGAGAGGACCAGGAGGTATGACTATAACACAGCGACTAATTTGGGTGTATATTTCTTTTAAAAAGAGAAAACTCAAGTAAGAGGAAGAATCAATGCCAACTCACTTGTCTCTCCCATGTCGAACTTCATCCTGCTCCTTGGACTGGCGGCGGCGCTGTCTGGCAGATGTGGCAGAAGATGCTGATAGTGTTCCAGATTCTGAGTCCTCTGAACTTTGACCTCCAGAGTTATTAACATCAAAAAGATGTTGTTCTACAGCTGATCGGATGGTTCTTTCTAAGAGTCTGGCAAAAAAGAATGCAGAGTCATTCAAGCAGTCAAGTTCATCAGTGATCACCTTAAAAAATCTGTGCCTACAGTTTTGGGAACATCTGTATTTCCAGTGGAAAGTCTTTAGAACTTCATAAGCAAAGAGAGATGATGAGGCATTAATCTAAAAAATATCTGCATTATGTGTTAAAACCAAAACTAAACGAAAACAATTCTGCCAATTTAACAACTTTCTCATCTTTGTGAAGCCAGTATTGCTGAAATGCTCATGGCAAGTCTAGCAACAATTATGAGGCATTCAGGAAACAGGGGTCAATCAATATAAGGAAGAATGAGGAAAGATTTTTTTTGCCCTCATAGAATAATAGTAGACCTATTCTTACAAAGGCAATTTCATACCAATTCTACAGAGGAAGAGAGAGTGATTTGCAAAGCAAACTGGCACAAATAATTTTATGATGCCTATTATCTATTTACAATCTAAGACAAAATTATATGAAAATAATGATATTTTGGGAAAAAACTCACCAGAACAATTAGAACTCACAACAGCATGGCATAATCTTTCCTAACCTCTATTCAATTAAATTGTGATGTTTATAATTAAAGCTGTATTCATGCAAACACCCCAGAACATATTACTGAAATTGGAAGGATAGATTTACTTTGTTCAACATGAGGAAAACACATAAGCACAAAGTGCTGAAAAGTGCATGGTAAGCTAGAAATGGAATCATTTTTAAAGCTGTAGAATCTTTCAAGGTGTGTATACCTTTTAGCACCACATTATTTCCAAATAAGCTGGTATGGAAAGCTCTTAACTCAGAGTCCTCAAACCTTGTTTTTCTTCGCTTGAAAAAGAACTATATATATATGTTCTAAATGCTCAGGCTGAGAAGTAGCATTTACTTAAATAAACTGTGTTTTGAGAACTTAACTAATTTCAGATTTTTCAAATGCAGTTTTATAATCGACTCATAGTTATTCAAATTTTATTAAAAATATTTTAAGATAATGAGGAAGTATAGTCAAATTAACTTGGGCATTAGAACTTTTATAGATAGAACTCCATGTCTCAAATGATTCAAGATTATTTAATCACAGTACAGAGGATTGTGAGTAAATTAATATGCACATAAGAGATGTACATAATATATAAATAACATATTCATGAGGATGCCATAAAATGCATTACATCAGAGGTGGCTTCCTACAACATACCAAACATCCAGATGAAACTGAAATATCTAAACAGAACAACCCTGCACTTTTTCCAAGCTATACAAGACCCATAAGGAAAGATTATTAGGAAATGAAAAAGGCAAGAACATGTCAGCCTTGGTGCAGTTCTTGAATATCTTTGAAACTGACAAAGCTAAAGGAGGTCAGTCCTGCCCTCTGATTGTTTTCTCTCCCAACAAGGAATTAAGAAAATGGAAATCCATCCTGTTAGATCCAAATTCATTTCAACTAGTGCTTCTTCTAATTCTTCTCTCTTCTCCCTATCACACCACATCTACCCCACCTCCTACACCTGATCCTTGCCAAGAGAAGATGCTCCAAAGAGGCCCACTCATGTCCCAGCAAGTAAGGAGAATAGGTAGGTGTAATGGAAACATATGTGAGCAAGGAGCTGTTCTGTCATTCAGTGACTATTTATTTAGTGCCTAATATATGCCAGGAACTTCTCTAGGCAGTAGGGAGATAGCAATGAACATGACAGACAAGTTCCTTGTATTTACAGAGCTTACATTCCCGTAGGGCAAGATAGATAATAAAGAAATAATGTAATTTCCAATAGTAATAAGTTCTCTAAAACATTGAGTAAAGTGGTGGCAAGTGAATATGGGTAGTTAGGAATAGAATCCTGGATAAGATGACACTTGAACGAGGAGTGAATGAGAAAAAAGTGCTGGCCAGGCTGAGGAACAGCCAATACAAAGGCTCTGAGGCAGCAATAAGGTTGGCCCTCCGTGGGAACAGTAGGTCATGTGGCTGAAGTGTAATGAGCAATATGGTCAGAGGCATTAGCAAGGACTGATAACTGGAGTTTAGGTTTAGTCTAAGTGTCAGTGGAAGACTTTGGAGGAAAAGGCATGTGATGACATAATTAAGAGAGTACCGCCACTGCCCTGTGGACCAGGGACTTGTTGCCATCACTAATTTGCTTTCTTTTCTGCATCCCTATTAGAGTGTAACATCCCTGAAGACAGGGCCCAAGGCGTCCTTGACATTACACATCTAACATGCGCCTGACGTGTTGCAGGCACTCAGTCAATGTAGGTTCAGTCAAATGAACTAAGTAGGGAGTAAAGACATGATTAATGGTTTAACCTTTAATTACATTATCCATTGCAAGATGCCTCCCAAAGTACATTAGACTACTTGCTAATATTAATTGATCCTGGCATTATTTTTAATGAAGTAAACAAAAAGCTCATATTTTCCAATGTTGGAGTTGTCTGTAGGAATACACATATAGAAGCTCAAATAAGAATACCTATGTAGTCCTCTCCTCCATATAGTTTAAAAGTCACTGGCTGCTTATTATCTGAATTTTCCAATACTGTACACCATTAGAGTTGCTTTTTTTTTCTGTTTAATAAGTGGGACAGGGCATTAAAAAAAAAAAACCCAAAGCCCAAAAACCCAACCCAAATAACTTACTCTCCGGTTGCAGACACATTGCTGACTTGGGGTACATGAGCACTGCAGAAAAGAAGCAAAGAGAAAGTCAGGTTAGATGAAAGATCAGAGATGATGAACCAAACATGTGAAGTGGATCGCAGGCTGAAAGAAATTAGCTCAGTCCCAAGTGATCCCCAAAACAATGTTTAACCATCCAATGAAAGATGCTCATTTTCACTTGTTTCTAGAAATGGAGATGGCCCTGCTTGCTTATAACAGTGGCTTTTTCTCCTTTTAAAAGTTGTCCAAGGCAGACAATTCTATAACTAAATTTGGAAAACCATCTCTTAGCTGTCAACCTATTGCCACAGCAGCCCTAGTTCAAGGTCTTTTCATTTTCCTAAAATGTTAATTGTGGCCATGTGCCTTCCTGCCACCTACTTCACCTATTTCTATCTTTTCCCAGCCCAAATCCATTCCCTTCCTTCTCCTCTTAGGCCAGGAAACAGAACATCTTTCTAAAACTCTGCTCTCAACAGGCAGAGGGCAGTGGGGACGACAGGGATAGAGAACAAGGAACCGATATTGTTTTCTATATGACTATTTCTAAACCATCTTTTCGAAGCCACATTTTCTTCCTAAGTTTCTCAGGATGGAAAGCATCTCAAGCTCTGTAATGTGTCAGCTTAACATCTAATTTACAATGTTTTTGTTGAGCACTTACAAATTTTCATGATTTTCCCATTTTTTTAAAGCCTGAATTCTTTTAAAAGTATTGAGAAGTGGTCAACACAAAGTAGAATGATAAAATTACAAAACACTATCAGGTTAGCATGCTTCAGAACTTTCCCCCTCATGCCTGCACTTATGTTCACATAACCACAATGAGTGTTGAGGCTGGCAGCTATTTTAATTGTATTAACACATTACATTCTCACAATCTGCCCTCTAGTGTTTAGTTGGCTTGTGAATCAAGATTTAAAAGTGCCTATCCTTTAAAAGAAGAGGTTAAATATTGAGCAGATTTGAGACAATCTTTAGTCGTGTCAAACTATAGTTCTACCTAATAGTCCTAATAGTTCTTTTCTTTCTTTGTAGAGACATTCAAAGAAAATCAAAGTTGTTAAGGACCAATATTGATAGTTGTCTTTCAATTACTCCAAACATTCTAATTTATACGATATAATTTTCAACATATGAATATGTTGCTTGGGAATCATCTGTCAGGTTTTTCTCCCATGTAAGTGTATATCTCATCTCTTTCAATGTAGAATCTCAAGGCCTCAAGGGACTGTACAATATTTCTCATTTTCTTTCATCACACTCCCTCCCACTACCACCACCATCATGTCTTCCATAGTACTCATTATCCCAGAGGTGATCAAAAAATGTTTACTCTTTCGCCCAAGATAATTTTCTTTAGCTAAAGCTGTAGCTCTTTGTTATGGCCACAGACAAACCCAGAAAAACCACGTAAAATCATGTGATTAGGTAAAAGGGAAGCTGATTCAAATTCGTATTAAATAATTAAGAAGATAAGTAAATAAATACAAACACCCTAAGACTTACTGAGTACTTACTATGTTCCAGACACTGTGCTAAGTACTTTTACATAGTTTTTTTTTCACTTATTATTTACAATAACCCTATGAAGAGGTACTACTCTTTTCCCTGTTTTCAGATGAAGAGGTTAGAAAGGTTAAATAACTTACCCACAGCCATAGAACCAAGAAATAAATGAGCTAGGATTTGAACCAAGAAAGGTTTTAGCTCAGAGTCTAAGCTCTTAATCACTCCACTAGCTTGTCTTTCAATCCATTACTCACTACAGTCATCTTTGGATATGGAGGCCTGGCCTTAGGTATTTTACTTTGCTTTTAATTACAACAATTTCTCCTCTGCCTCACAATGCCTGTTATTCATAGTGGTTCCCAGGCTACATAACCAACAATAAAACCCTTTCTGCTTTCTGTCTTTAACTGGAACAAGCAGTCCTTGCTTTTGCTACTTTGTGGCTTACCCTCTGTAAATTCAACAATATATAATTAACTCCTATACTCCACTTCTCAGTACAGTTACACAACCTTGGTTTTGAGAGCAGGGACCCATATGAGTAATGACTCGGGGAAAACCCAGAAGAGAGTAAAGAATGTGGATCTGCTAGATGCTAAAAAACATTCCAAAGACATGTCATTAGCCTGTTAGTCCTCTATGCCATCTCAGAATGAAGACATGTATTTCCTCTCCTCCTTTCCACATCCTTTTGAACTGTCTTCTTTTTGACTATTAAAGCAGATCCTGATGTTTTGATGTTCATTTTCCATGAAGGGAGGGTGAAGAAAGAAAGGCAAGAAAGAAAAAGACAAGGAAACAACAAACAAGATGAGGTTCTGAGATTTCTAACTCTTTAAATAAGTGCTTCTTCATTCTTAATGTGCATAGGAATCACCTTGGCACTTGTTAATACAGACTGTGATTCAGCAGGTCTAGGTCTTGGGAAGGGGAAGCTGAGACTGCATTTCTAATACATTCCTCAGTGATTCTAATACTGTTGGTTTGTGGAAGACACTGAGTGGCAGAGGCTCTTATCTTCGCAACTAAAATTCTTCAAAACTTCAATTACTTAAATATCCCAATAATGATTTTTAAATACTGTAATCTAAGTAATGAAGGTAGGATACGGAAAACTCATGTTAACCTCAGTGAATAAAAGTCAACACATCGAAATTTCTCCAACAGCTTAGAGAAAAATGACCTGAACCATCTAAATCAGTTGTAGAGCACATTTCTCAGAGTACAAAAGTAAACGAATAAATCAATAATAAAACCAAGTAATTAAATCATATTCATATTTTTGCTAGCATATTTATTTTAGGACAGTTTTAGAATAAAGTGTGATGTTTTTAATAGTCCTTTGGAATTTCTGGTATATTTAACTAGTCTATAATTTCAAGTTCTTTTAATAGAATTCCTATATAAAGCATTAGGAGAAGATATTTTCCACTGGTAATCAGAAAAGAAAGTTCTGGTCTTGGCTCTGCAGTTGATTAGACAAAATCACTGGCAGGTTGTTGGTTAGCTTGGCTGCATTGGGTTGGTTTCTTCACATAGAAAATGAAAGGTCTGGCTAGTGATCTCTGTAGTTTCTTTTACCTCTAAAAGAAACCTCAAAAAATTGTTCTATCTCAGGTTCAGGCTTACTGCCTAAAGTTTACATGATTACAAAAGGTTATGACTGCATATTTAGTTTTATGACATAGTATCAGATACATTTATGGTTTATTAGATTCCAAAATAACTTTGGTATTTAGTCAGGCATCCACCGCCATAGTTCCTGTGGGATGTACTTAACAATTCACCCTTAACAAAATTTTAAAGAATATTTAACAAAAGCAATAGAGATTTCTTCCATAACTAAGACACTGACAAAAAGGCAATAAGCATTTAAACAATAAGCAAATAAGCCAAAGTGAAAGATAAAGAAATTTCCTTCTTCATCTGTATGTAGCTTGCTTTTTACCCTCTTCGGAGAGCTAAGAATAATGAATTTTTTTTCAGCGTCTTTGACTGATTTGCTAAGAAAATTTCTTACTTATGCATTATAAACAGTTGGATATGGAAGCGTTCATTTCCTAATGTTGACAAAGCAAGTATTTAAAATGGAAAGAAAGATGCTCACTCATATGCAGATCCCAGTTCTATGGCCAAATTCAAACCTAAGCCTACTGTTAGTGATGATGCAACTGAATATTCTATTGGCATGGTCATTTAAAATAGATTCTAAGCCTACTTTGAAATATATTCTATGACATATTGAAATATCTTTAGTCTTTATTTTTACTAGCAAAACCCAAACTATATTTCCTTAAGCCAATTATGCTCAGCAATATTAGTCTGTAAAATTTGCATGTGATAAGATGCACAGATGCCTGTTGACAAGTGATTCTTTAATTAAATCTCTTGATTTGAAATAAAAAAGCATACATTTAAAAAGAGGTTTCAAATCTACAAAATGGAGACATCTTGAAAAGCATGTGTTCTCTTTTCTGTGCGTTGTCTTATTTCAGTATGTTCTCCTCTATGGCATATAAAATCCTGCCTGTAAAATATTACCGTTTTATTAGGAAACATGAGGTCTAACAAAATTATCAGTTTCTCTAGGATATAATATTTAAATTTACTCTTTTTTTAATTGAGCAAGGATTAAAAAGACAATTATGAGATGTTCGCTTAAATAAACCTAAGGATAAAGCTCATGTAACAATCATCAAAATAGCCTAAAATTCTTAATTTGTCAATTTAACAAAATATAGTATTTTTAGTATCATCTTAAAATACGATAAGTTGATATGCAGCATCAACATTATACATATATAACAATGCACATATTTGTTATGGTATAATGGCTTTCTAAATTAAATTTTGTTCATAATTTTAGTGCATTCTTCATAGTGTCATACATTAAAACAATTCAATCCTCAATATTTATTCCTTTTGTTTTAACCTCTAGCTATGATTATCATATGCAGAACTTTAGTGGAACATTTGTTGGTATTTAAACTCTGATAAAAGTTGCATCATCCTTTTGCATCATTACAGACATTTTGGGTAGCCTCAAATCTTGGTTTAAAATTGCATACTGTGCATAATATACTAGAATATAAATTGAAAACATACTACATGGATATAACTCAAAAAGAGGAAAATATTTATCCTCATACCTTCTCTAATTCATGTTTCCTATTCTTTTAAATAGCCTGATTTGAAGAAAAAATTACTCTTCACAGCTATATCTTAATGCTATATTAAATTTATTCTAACAAATCAAATATAACCCATCGAAATGTCAGAATACTCATCTTTTATACAGCTTCTTTTGACAATTATTGATGTTTTCAATTTTATATATTTAGTATGTTTTAGCATAAAAAGAAATGGAAAGTTTAGTTTTTACACTAAGGTCTATATTAACAAAATTATAAAATGTAATGGATAATTCACTTATATACTGTATCCCTTTTCCATTTTACAGAAAATTGAAGAGCAGAGAATTTAAGTATCTAAGTTTACACAGCTCCATTCTATCTATGTAGTCTGGCTTCAGGGTATGTCCTCGATACTCTGAACAATCTTTATTCTCAAATAATGCTGCTATTTACATAAATTGTTGGCTATACCTCTAGTTATTTCATTAGAATTAGGTTACTAAAAGTGCTTTTTTTGATTCAAATAGATGTTCTCCAAATTTATATAATGCAGAAAATTTTTATTTCATCTAGGTTTTCATGTTTATTAGTTTCAAATTGCATGATGTATTCTCTAATCTTTTAAAAAATTATTATAACCCTTACAGTAAACTTCAGTTATGATTATTAGTATCATCTCTCATTTTTCTCAAGCTTATCAAGAATTTTCTATCTTGTAATTTTCATTTTTAGTCTCAAAGAACCAGCTCCCGAATTCAAGTATCAGTTCTGCTCGTTTTCTGTTTTCTTTTATTATTAATGAATTATTTTAGGTTTCAAAGAGGTTGCTTTTTCTTCCTTTCTATAACTTCTTATTCTGAATGTGTGGCTGATTTATCTTCAATCTTGTGTTAGGTTACCTCTTAAAATAAGTTTAGACTTTATTCTATAAATTTTCATATATACTTTTTCTTTATTTTCTTAACAGTATGCACTTGAGATTCTTATTTACTCTTTGAGTTATCCCCTTCCTCCTGTCCCCTTACAAGAGTTTTCATTGGTTGATTGAAAGTTTTTGTCATTAATTACACTGTGGTCAGAAATTATTGGCTATCAAAATTTCTGCTCTTTAAGAACTTTTAAAGATAGCTGAATAATTTTTATAAAGTAGCAGAAATGCTTGATTGAGCTCTATATTATGCAAAATTTCACATATGTATATAGGTGCTCATTTATTTGAAATCTTATTAATTTTACAAAATTCTCAATGCTATCTATCCTGTAAATTTTGTTATGGACATATAGTTATATGTATAAGTCCTATATTTCAAATGTGTTTACTTGTTTACCCTTGATAATGTAAGAATTTAAATTTATATGATTTGATAATACCGTAGATATGTTTATCTTTTTATTATTGATCTTTCTGTGCCACTTTGTTTTAGGTATGACTCTTTTGCAAATGGTATAGTTCAACTAGGTTTTTTTTTTTTAGTAGTTTAGCTTTTCTCAAATAATTTAATCCACTTACATTTATTGTCCTAGCTGATTTGTTCTAGTATTGTTTTTGCTTTGTACTTTCTAATTTGGGAACTTGCTTTTCCTTTGGTTTCTGACATTGCTCTTATCTTTTGAAGGCATTCTGAATATAGGAATCCTATGCACAATTCTACTATGGTTGCTTCTCATGCCCATATTTCTCTCATTATTATTAAAAATATGGCAAAAAGTGCAATTACTTTCACGTCAACCTAATAAAATAAGAAAATAGACAAAAAAACCTCTTGACACCTGCTTCTATTTTCCTGTTTATGTAAGACAAGAAAATTATAGTTTCATTACTTTCTTTGCCTTTCCACCAATGCTTATAATCAGATCTCTAGGTCCTACTAATTTTTTTTTAAATTTATCTCTCAATTAGCTGGGCACACACTATACTTGTATTTTACAAATATGTTTCTTCATTCAAATTATAGTTTTCAGATTGGCTTTTCAATCTCTGACTTTCACATCTAACATTATTACTCTGATAGTTTTGTGGGTTTTTTTTTTTTTGAGACAGTGTCTTGCTCCGTCACCCAGGCTGGAGGGAGTACAGTGGCATCATCATAGCTCACTGAAATCTCAAACTCCTGGGCTCAAGCAATCCTCTTGCTTCGGCCTCACAAGAAACTGGTGTACATCAACACACCTGGGCAATTTATTTATTTTCTTACAGAGACAGAGTCTTGCTATGTTGCCCAGGTTGGTCTCAGACTCCTGGTTTCAAGAGATCCTCCCACTCTGGCCTCCGAAAGTGCTGGGATTACAGGAGAGAACTACTGTGTCCAGCCTGTCACGTAGTTTTTATCTTTATCCTGTTCCTTTTCATTCCAGAAGGGCGTCTCCAGTTTCTCTTTTATCATGTATTTGACTGATTTTTAATCATTTCTCTTCTTTACTGCCTTCAACATAGTTTTTAAAGTCTCTTCTAAAACATTTCTAGGGTTGTTTTTCCCTCCTCATTTCAGCTGTTCTTTCTGTATCCCCAGCCTTTCAATTCCAAGCCTACTCTGCTTTAATGGCTTCCTACTGTTTCAAAAAGGTTTATGTCCTTGAGGATTTTTTGAGAAGATTAACAATATTAGTTCTCAAGTTTTCATCTGAATTTTATAAAAATCAATTCTCTAGATTCTGCTTTTATGCTGAGTCATTGAGGCAGATCATCCTTTCCCCTAGTTTGTAATTTTTCTTCATAGGTCCCAAATAGTTTCTTTGTGTTTAGTGGTTCTTAAGGTGGAACAATCAATCTAGGCAGAACCAGTTCCAACAACCTGGGAAGGTAGATTGTTCTTAGTTTATATAATTGTCCACTTGGCTGTGAGCAGATGCCTCCTCCTGGATTTAGATTTGAAGAGCCAGTATCTGAATCTGCCCTAGAATAATCTATAATGCCTACTTAGGTGGACTTGCTTTTTGGTCCAATTTTATGATTATGCTGGAGAACTGGAAACAAATTTGTGGTTTGTTTTGGGGTAGTGTACACTTGAAAGCACATATGAAAATCCAATAATCTTCTTCCCTTTATCCCTTTCTCAAATGCTTTTGCTAGGTGACTGAGCATCCCAGGAGAAGAATCCCTTTCTTCCCCATTGTTCTGTACACTGAGTATTCTTGTCTGAATGGATATTGAAATAAAAAAGCTGATGAGGGCAGAGAGGTGAAAAACAATAAAAACACAACTCGGCTCTAGATGGTTCAGAAAATAAGTTTCTGCTCAGTTGAGGAAATGTCACTAGCTTTTCTGATTAGTGCAATAGACAGCAGAAGAGAGCCAAGTCAGTTTTTCCTCCCTTCCTTTTCTCTTTGTGGCTATCTGTATTGTTTAGTTGGCAGAACATGAAGTCTGCAAGGTAAAAATATGTTTCTCCGTCCACGCCATAGATGATGTGACTTTTGACATGGCTTTTCTTTATCATTGCTACAGAGCTGTCTCTAGAGTTTGTCTTTTATATCATCATTGGATATTAAATAGAAAGCTGGGAGTACTGTATCAGGCAAAGGCAGTCTGCTACCTGTTTAAACTAGAGGCTTACGTTTTATTAAAATCTGAAGTTCTACAAAGGGAAGTCCACAGAGAGGCAGGGAAACTGAGGAATGAAGTAACAAGAGACCTAGGCAGAATGGATATAAAGGTGTAATTTTCTACAAGTGAATTCTTCTTTATCATGCTGAGGTATAAAGAGGTAAAAATATGAAGAAAAGCATTTAAAATGTATATAATTTATCTTTCTCAGTATAGCTCTAAACATATGCTTAATATTTTTATTAACATTGTTAGAATTAAACCCAGAATCTATACTTACATCTTACTACGCAAAAAATAAATAAATAAAAAATAATGACTGGTGATTCTCAGATCAAGAACTCAATAATGAGTCTTAAAAATTGTATGACAAACAGTAGTAAACTTTGTAGCCATTCCTCAGTTATACTGTTGGTCTGGTTCTGTGTAGGCACCTAGCACGACCTGAGACTTAGAATCCTGACCAATGAGACACAACCATCTTTAAAGAAATCCACATACTTCACAACTAAAGGATGGCTATTATTAGAAAAACAAAATACCAAGTGTTGACAAAAATAAGGACAAATTGGAACTGTGTACTTTACCTGTGGAAATGTAAAACGATGTAGCTGCTAGGGTAAATAGTATGGAAGTTCCTCAACAAATTAAACGTAGAACTACCATATGCTCCAACAATTCCACTTTTTTTTTTTTTTTTTAATTATTAGACAGAGTCTTGCTCTGTTGCCAGGCTGGAGTGCCATGGCACAATCTCGGCTCACTGCAACCTCCACCTTCCGGGTTCAGGGGATTCCCCTGTCTCAGCCTCCTGAGTAGCTGGGACTACAGATGCACGCCACCATGCACGGCTAATTTTTTGTATTTTAGTAGAGACTGGGTTTCACCATATTGTCCACGATGGTCTCGATCTCCTGACCTTGTGATCCACCCGCCTTGGCCTCCCAAAGTGCTGGGATTACAGGCGTGAGCCACTGTGCCTGGCCCCAACAATTCCACTGCTGAGTATATACCCAACAGAAATGAAAGCAAGGACTTGGACAGATATTTGTACATCCATGTTCATAGCAGCATTATTCACAATGCCCAAAAGATGGAAGCAACCTAAGTGTCTATTGACAAGTGAAAGGATAAACAAAATGTAGTATATACATAGATGGAAATATTATTCAGCCTTCAAAAGGAAGAAAATTCTGACACATGCTACAACATGGATGTACCCTGAGGTATGCTAAGTAAAATATGCCAGTCACAAAAGGACAAAGACTGTAAGATCCCACTCATATGAGGTACCCGGAGTAGTCAAATTCTTAAAGACAGAGAGTGAAATGGTGGTTGCCAGGGGATAGGGAAAGGAGGAAATGAGAAATTAGTGTTTAGTGAGTACAGAATTTCAGTTTTACAAGATGCAAAGAGTTCTGAAGATGGATGGTGATGACAGTTGTATAACAATGAGAATGTACTTAATGCCACTGAACTGTACATTTAAAAATGGCTAAGATGGCAACCTTTGTTTATATTTTACCATAATACAAAAACCAAAACCAAAACAGCAGAGCTCCACAGGCAGGGGGGATGTGCCCCCTCCGTTTAGAAACACTATTCTGGCCAGGCGCGGTGGCTCGCACCTGTAATCCCAGCACTTTGGGAGGCCGAGGTGGGCAGATCACTTGAGGTCAGGAGTTTGAGACCAGCCTAGCCAACACAGTGAAACCCTGTCTCTACTAAAAATATAAAAATTAGCCAGGTGTAGTGGCGGGTGCCTGTAATCCCAGCTACTCTGGAGGCTGAGGCAGGAGAATCACTTGAACCTGGGAGGTGGAGGTTGCAGTGAGCCGAGATTGTGCCACTACACTCCAGCCCGGGCGACAGAGTGAGACTCCATCTCAGAAACAAAAACAAAAAAAAAAAAAGAAAAAAAAAAGAAAAAGAAACACTATTATAATAAAAAGGAAAACAAATATTTTTAATAAGTAGTTGTGTCTAAAGACATCCAGATACCTAGCTGACTTTATCATCTTGCTAAAAAAGTGGATACTTAAATAAACAGCTTGCTTGTTTGTTCCACTTCTTAGTAGCCTAAAACAGGGTTTTGAATAAATATAATGTCTGGTATGCTACACTTCTCCAAAACTCTCCCATGTGATAATGAAGGATTTTTACCTTAAAATAATCATTTAGAAAACATACAATATGCTTCTTAAGGAGAAAAACAAACTATTAGAAGTTAAAGCTAATGAAGCATAATACAAAAAAAAAATCACAAACATACAAATTCTAGCATAAGTTGTTTGGAAAGCCATTCCTCAGAAAAATTACCTAAAAATGCTTTAGAAAGAAGTTTTCTACATATCAGGAATAGCAGTGGCATGGTATAATATTCAGATCCCATCTAAATATCAAGTAATATTTTAATTTGAATTTAGCCAAAGTCATTTTTTTCTTTAACATAAATGTACAGTTATGAGACTGAGAAAATCGATAGTTCCCAGGCTCTAGCAATTAAAAATTAACCAAATTAGAAACAGTAAGTCTATCTGCAAAACAGCTAACTTAGAAATAAATCCATCTGATGCTCCTTCAGGAAAATTAGAAAACAGATGAAACACCAAAGCTGACCTTAATCCAAACATGCTAAATTAATAATTTAGCCTCAGTTTGCACTGTGAGTATTAAAACTTGGGCTGATATTTTAAAAGATGGTCAATTCCAGGATTTTCATGGAGCATTAAATGAGAAAACGAAAAGAGAGGAAGATCAGTGCACCTGCTAGAAGACAGGTGTTAGGTAAGCAAGGACCAAGTTTCAGATGCCAGGTGAGTTATTTAGAGCCCAATGAACAAAACTGGTCTATAGCCCCTGAAGCACACATCCTCAGATTTTGATAAAGCACATTAAACACAGGTTCTACATATGCAAGTTATATGTATAATCCAGGAATTTGTAAAGAAGGAGTTCAAGGATAGAAGTCTGATGAAATGGGATAAGGATGGGATCTGATCCTGCTCATAGGACCATGAAAGTGGTGTAGGGGAGGTGGGAGCTGGTAGAGATGAGGAGAAACAGCAAAAGGAGATGCAGAACCCGAGTCTTAGTGGAAACCAAACACTGAAATCCGAACTCAGGCTTGCAGACACTGAAAACTCAGGCAAACAGAAGTAGAGCAGCAACAGATCCTAGACAGATCTGACTGGAGGCCAGGTAAAAGAATGCAGACAATAAAAGGTTGAACATGGCACAGAAGAACACCACCACCAAGTTGTTTTGATGCTCAGCTGAGCAACTGAGGTAGGGGCCCTGTTGTTTGGGATTGCAGCCTAGACTATAAGAGAGAACAGGGTATGAACATCCTGGCCAAGAACATTCTCCACCTTAAGTGTGCAGGTCATGTCTATTCTGCTGTAGTCTTACTAAGGGTTTGGCATAACCTATTTTTCCTTTTCATTTCCCTAATCATTTCAACTGGGCTGGTAATCCCTAATAAGCGTCTGGGGAACAATGACACCTACTGTTTGAGCTCCTATAACTGCAATTAACTTGCTACATGGAATGGTGGCAGGTGTAGATTGATAGCTACTGTTTCCTTCCTTTGCAAAAAATGACAAATGGCTCTGTGGTGAGTTAAGTTGGAGAAGTTCTGAAATTAGAGATGACAGAGTTATCACAGAAGATATTTGATTTAGAATAAAAATATGAGTGTGTGTCTATTTATAACAGCCCTACCATATTACAGAAAGGACTGAAGGTAACTGAAATATATGGTAGACTAACATGGGATTCAGGCATGACTGTTCAATGAGAATATCACATTATAGAAACTGAAATTCCATAAAGTGATAACAAGAGCAACATAATGACTGAAACGGCCTCTCTGGTTCCCTGTTCCTGCATCCCTTTCTTCTCCCCTAGCCACAGCAAGGTCCTGGGACCTCCACTAGTGTGCACTGTGGCCTCTTCACACGCTCTCCGTCTGCATCCTCTATCCCAGACACAGACTCTGTCCTGTTGTATACAATCCATCTCTTCTCCACTCCAGTAGCAGGATTCCCATGTGATCTCCTATACCCGAGGGCCGCTATGGGTCATCTACCCTCCTTCCTTTGAGACTGGAGGCCTGCTCTGCTCTCATCTTCTGTCTGTTCTGATCTGCACTCTCTGAAGACTGTCCACTCACAGACTTGTAGCCACTGAGTTTTGCTGTTCCACCTCTTTATGCTGGACCTTTCAGAATTAACCACCAAACTGAATATGCCATTGCTGACCAGCTTTCCCAGCCCTATCCGCTCCATGGCTGCTTGTGGCTGGATCTACTTCCGGTGAGTAACCCTCTCAGCAGACGTGTCTTATGTCTTGATTGGGCCTACTTTTGAAATTCTAATTTCAGGCTAAATAATTACTATTTTTGCATTTGTGAAATAGTTCTGCTTAGTTTAAATCTCCATCATATGAAAAGAATGCCTGCTGGTAACTTCTCCTTTTTCTACCATAAACGTGGGCCAGTATGCATATTCATTCTCTTTTTCCCCCTAATTTTATCATATTTAATTTTTATGACTCAACATTGAAAATATCAAGTAGCTTCTATTAAGAGTTCAGTAAATATATTATTGATTTTCTTTTACTGTATTTTCTTGTACTTTCATTCTGCAAGTACAGGACATTCAGAGAAATAAGTTCTCATTCGTTGGCATGAACCAGTGCTAAAGTCTCCTATACTATGTAAAACTAAATTTCCATTAATATATAATAAACATTTGTTATTACTGTGTATATTTATATAATGAATATCAGACTCACTACGTGCTCAGCAGCATCCTGATGTGTTCACAGGAATTGCATAGTTGAGATACCCTATGAACCAGAGTATGCTGATTTGGTTGGCAGGAAACCAGGATGAAAAAATGGACCACGTTGTCTCATACTGAAACCTCAAATGTTCCCTCTCTTGCCATAAAGTGATTATGCAATATGCTGCAAGTCACTAAAGAGTAAACACTATTAAAAAGCAGTTACTTCGCTAAGCCTGAAGTCCTATGACACATTTCTGAAGTACTAGTGGTTGAATTATAGCCTAAATCCATTCTGGGACTATTTCAACAAGTCAGATTCAAAAATAAATAAATAAACAAATTCTGTATTGCATCCCCTGACATTTCTTTTAAAAAGCAGTAGACTTCAGGCCAGGCGTGGTGGCTCATGCCTGTAATCCCAGCACTTAGGGAGGCTGAGGCGGGTGGATCACGAGGTCAGGAGTTCAAGACCAGCCTGGCCAAGATGGTGAAACCCTGTTCTACTAAAAATACAAAAATTAGCCGGGCGTGGTGGTGGGTGCCTGTAATCCCAGCTACTCGGGAGGCTGAGGCAGAGAATTGCTTAAACCCGGGAGGCGGAGGTTGCAGTGAGTCGAGACCATGCCACTGCAATCCAGCCTGGGCAACAGAGTGAGATTCCGTCAAAAATAAATAAATAAATAAAATAAAATAAATAAAAAGCAGTATACTTCAGGAAATATTTTAAAAAACAAACATCAGCATTATTCTACATGTGTATATACTTTTCAAATATATTTTCTAAGCCTTTGAAGTGGGTAGGTAGTAAGAAAAGACATGCAATAAGGAAGACTTGATTCTAGGCTGTATCTCAGATGACTCACTGGAAAACCCTATCAGTACAGCATTCAATCACCAGAGAGAGGTGATCTTGAATTCTGTTAATTTACCTGCTTTAACATTGTTACTCTGGGTTTGTAAGTTTTAGAAAATCATCTTAAACCCTATAAACTTGCTGAATATTTAGTTTCCTTCTCCGCTATGACATAGAAAATGATGTAACACAACCCAAGGCTTTATCTGTGAATGGGTCTTGTACCCATTTGCCCCCACTAACCTATGCATATGTATATGTATAAAATAGAGATTTTTAACTTTGCTTACAGCCTAATCATCAGGCAGTTTTTAAATTAAAATGATCACCTTGGCACTTTTGAATTTAAAACAAAATGTCTTATTTTAGTTGTTTCAACTATATCAGACATTTAAAAAAAAAATTTCTTGAACCAAAGGGGAAAATACAGTAAGGTGAAGAGCTCCAGCAAGTTAGTCTGGCCACAGTAATGAATGTTCTATTGAAAGAGATTAAAATGAGCAAATAAACCCAAAGAAGCCTTAACCCTCCTTTATTCCCTGTAGTAGACCAACAAAAATCAAATAAATACCTCAAATAGAAAGGTGACAGAGGTCTTTCATCTTCCTGTGAACTAAAAGGAAAATAAATTTTGAATTAATATAATGTCTGTTAATATGACATGTCAATTTTACTAAAAATGTTCTACCTGTAAAAAATGTTGATTTAGCACATTAAAGCCAATCACATGATGGAATAAGGTTAGTAAAACATGATCCACCTCGGACCTAGCCAAGGTCAATTACTTCTTGTCAGGATACCATCAAGTGAGGCTTCTTTCAAGATCAGCTAAGACAGAAGTAATTCACATCACACTTTCAAGAGGAAGCTTTTTACTGCCTTATTCTAGAGGCCCAATTCAAGTATTCGTATATTACACATAAACCCTTAAAATGATTACATACTAATTTATCTCAACAAAGCTGACTGCAGCTCATTAACATGATGATGAAAATAAGAAACAACCAACAAAACATTCCTGTTAAGAACGAGCCACTTCAGGAATGATTCCCTAGCAATGCAGAGCACATCAGTAAACAGCACCATACTCACGGGCTCTTTGTCCTTCTGTAGTTACTCTACTAAGTATTAACTAGTGTGTATAACATGAAAGGACACAAATGAAATCATTAAAAAGTTTAAGTTCCTCAAACAACACAGACAAAATATGAAGCTTAATACATTGAAAGTTAATTTTTTTTTTTTAAGAGACATGGTCTCACTCTGTTGGCCAGGCTAGAGTGCACTGGTACAATCATGGTTCACTGTAGCCACAAACTCCCAGGCTCAAGTGATCCTCCCACGTCAGCCTCTGGGGTATCTGGGACCACAGGCACGTGCTACCATGTCAGGCTAGTTTTTTATTTTTTGTGGAGACAGAGTCTCACTATGTTGCCCATGCTGGTCTTGAACTCCTGGGCTCAAGTGATCCTCCCACCTCAGCCTCCCAAAGTGCTAGGATTACAAACATGAGCCACCATGCCTGGCCTAAAAATTTAATTTTTAAAATGTAACATATATGCTATATTTTCTTTTCCTTTCTTTAGTATGTTTTATTTTTCCTAATAAATGATCTCAAAGTATAGAATGAATCCCTCCCCCTTGCGGTCCACTGGAGTGATCTCTGAACTTTTAAAATTATGCACTCATAAAACTTGCTTTTCAGTGGCCACTCCCCTCAAATATATAACTGATTAAATATATAACTATATTATGTACATCATTAAACAGATAAAAGTAGAAAGATAAAGTATTAAATAAAATGAAAAAGAAAGTCTAATATTTTCTTTTGTACCCCTAGGATTCCTCTTGGATATCACCTGGGGTGTACACCACCTTACCGCATCTGGGAAAGCAACTAATTACCTGCAGCATTCTCTTTCTCTCTCTTTTTGCTTATTTTTAATTTTCTTAAGCATCATTCATGAAAAGAGAAAAGTCTGCTTCGACTGATAGTATTAAACTTGCAGTCAATAAACTCTTATTACAGAGTTATACTGTAAAACACACACAAGCAAACAAAATCGTGTCCTGGAAGTTGAATAGGTCTTAACATTTTAGAAGGAATATGGAACATAAAATGTGACACACTGTTTTTCATTCTCTCATGATTTGGGTTTCCAATTTCAACACTGATCAGCTGTTCTAATGCCCATGTTGCCAAATACCTTAATGTTTATAACTAATGGTGTTAACTCTTCCCAGGTGAGGGGTAAGTGATGGGCTGTAATGTGGATGGGCTGAGGGCAAAGCTTGTAGAATTAGGTTGCAGGGTTGAAGAGTAAGAGGGGACAACACCTGGGAAATGTCCAGGTGTCCAGGAAGAAACCACCTGAAACAGCGCTATTATAGGAGGTGACTACTTTTAAGTCAACCTGACAGAAGTCGCTTACACATTTGACTTCCAAATACTCCTAGAAAACACTAAACAAAACAATTTTAGAAATGTTAGAACTGGGTTTCCTGATCAAGAAATTGATCATTATGCCAAAGAAACACCATGCCAAACAAACAAAAAAACCTGCCACTAAAAACCTATAATGATTTTGTTATTCTAGGAAAGGCCTCCATATTTTGTAAAATTAGTACTACATACTTTCTTTGCCCAGAACAGATCCTTTACTCTAACATGTAGCAAACTGAAGGAAAATTAACATGGTTACTGTAACATTCTTTGATGTGCATTCAATTAGCAATATGCTTGATTTTCTTAAGTGCTTTTGAGAGATGATTTAAATGGTTCAGGGCTCTGAACACAGCTGTTTATGTGTCTTAGCTATTTGTGTGTGTCTGTGTGCTAAATTTCTCTGCAGCAAACAGAAGCAATACTTTTTTCCTTTCATCTCCCTCACAAATTTCATATCAATTATGACTGCGGGCCAGATCCTACCACAGGTCCTACATTAATTATCTCAATTAGATACTCACAAAACTTCCCTGGTTCTGGCTTCTTGCTCCTTAATTCTGGTGAGAAAAGCAGTCTCAGAGTGAGTACATAACTCATTCAGATGATGCAGCTAGTGATGTGTAAATTACTGTATTACATGTTAGTTCATTTTTCTTACTTATTGTTTTCCCTTGATTTTTAACTTACTAAAGTACAGCGAGATGACTAGGTTAGTGAAGAAAATGCATTCGATGGCCAGTCTGCATTCCAGCAGCCACAACAAGATCTCGTGGACTTGATAAGCTCCTTGTCATGCTTCTGATTATGGCAACTCTACATCACCTTAGTCAAAGTCCATCCATAATGCATTATGCCTGACAGCACTTATAAGGTGATTAATTTATTAAAATATACTGGCACGATGTCAAGAATGTCTCTTGATAGAAACACAAGATTTTAATCATAAGCAAATATTTTATCTGGCCTGCATTTGCACAAAGTAAATTCATCAATGAAAGACAAAATAAGAAATTCTTAATTTGGCTATGCCCCTGAATTTTGACCAGTTTTTGTTCTAAAAAAGAAAATGTAAGCACTGAAATTTAAGTAAAATAAAGCAGAGTCAGTATTACATTTAGTCAACAATCAGCAGTTAACAGTGGAGCAATCCATGCACAGTCCCTGAGAAAAACAATATAATTTGGAAAGAAAATGAGGGTAAATAAATCAATTTTTATTTTAAAAGCTTATTTCTATTTTCCCTTTCATAAAAGTACCCTTTTCTGGGATTTAGTAATACAATCTAAACAAAGGCATAAATTTTGAGACAACTAAATCATTGATTTCAAATTGATTAAGCCAACTAATTTTAGAAATAAATTTAATGCATTGACTTCGAAGGTAATTTTAAGGAAAAATGGCCACGGACAATTCTTCCAAATAAAATCAACAAAATAAACTTTTCCACAAAATGCACAAACCAGAATGCACATTTGAAAAAATTACCATTTTTATACAGCTGTACAAAGATATTGTACTATTACTACAGGCTCCAAAACATCTTTAACAAAGATCATTTACACCTATTTCTGTTTTCGTGTCAATCTGTCATGTTCAATGATACTAAAGGATTTTGCCTAAACTCTAACTTGAGCATAATTTGTCATAATTTTTTCCTAAAGATGAAATTGAGAATTAATTCTGATTCACTTTTAATTTTTAAAAATAAGCACATGTTCTGTGAATGAAGAAGGAAGTGTGTGTCATGAAATTAAACCAATGACAAATTGAAACAACTTAGAATTCATTCGATTTCCTCCTTGGTTACCAGTAAAAACTCCGTGTTTTAATTATTTCCTATTTGCTGACTCTCAATAATGACCAAGCTTAAGCAGCCAATTATAAGTAGTTTACTTAAAAAAAAAAATCAAACATACATTGAGAGATTTGGGCAATCACCTCATTTATGTGATTATGCTTAATGTTCTCAGATACATGGTACTATATTCTCAAAATAACTGCTTGTAGGAAGAACATTTATCATATAGACCTAAATAACAGTCTAAATCTAAGAAGCTACAACTAAGAATGCCAATAACTTAGATATTTTTATCTACGTTTTAGCAGAGTCCTGTCTAACTTATTTTTTATACAGCTTGACATTGGTTAATGCACATAAATAAATGACACCTAGACTGATAATCTCTTCATGAGTTACCCTAATTTCTAAACTGAAGCCACAGAATGCAGTGCAATGCCTATCAGTTTAATTATACAGCAAGCTAAAGGAAATCATGAAAGGCATAGTGTTGTATATGTCTAAGAAAAACCAAATAATGTTGGGAGAATTCCCAGGGCAAGTACCCAGAATGGATCTTCAATTACTCGATCAAACCACCATTCCATTCCATTCCCTTTTTAACTCTCCAATTACTTCAACTTTCTAATTGGTTAATGTGGCTGGCTACCAGAAAATTAACATAATTTGCATATTTAGCCACACACTTTAAATATATTTCTAAGTGGTTTGAGACAGAAGAAATAGTTTGTAAGTGTTCCTTGAATACTGAAAAGTACAGAAAAACAAGTAAATGCTAAGAATTCGGTCCCATTCATTGAAGAAACTAGAAAAACCATCCATGAGGCTTAAAAAACAAAACAAGGAGCAAAAGAGAAAGTGAGGGACAAGTATAAAGAAACAAAAGAAAAGTATAAAGTAAACATTTTTTCAGGAACTCAGGCATTTTCCACATGTGCTACAAATGTAAGGGGAGGAATTTTCTTAGAGAATGATAAGTGAAGTTAGCACATTTTCCTTTCCTTCCTTGTTCTCAAAACATAAAGTGCAACACATGTACTTGAGCATTTTCAATTTATCCACAGTCTCAGTCGTTAACCATGCCCCTTGCCAACTGGGGAGGTACGTGGCAGCCACTGTTCTGTTGCTTAGGTTTTTGGTTTGGTCCCAATCAAGAACATTAAAAAAAAAAAAGTCCCGGTGGGCTTTTTTTTTTTTTCCTGGAAAACAAATGTAAGAGTTTTCGGATCAGTTCATAACTGTTTGCAGCTGTAATTTGTTGCGGGTGGGGGATATTTTACAATTCTTTTTTGTAAACCCAGGCAGCTTTGTTTATAGTTTTATTATTTGCACTTTGTGCCTAAGAACACAACTCTTAGCCAGTAGAAATACAAATTATTGCAGTTCAAGGGCAAATAGATTTTCCAGACCAAAGGTTAAATGCAAAGAGCTGAAGTTGTTAGTATTCACAGAACAGAAATTTTTAGCTAACAGTAAGAGGTATTATTCTGAAGGCAAAACAAATAGACAAAAAGACTTCCAAAGATTTAGATTTTATTCCAATATGATAGAAAAATATTTCTACCAATTTTTGTCTGTTTAGTGGAAATTTGAAATATACTGTTATCAGCTGAATTATGTCACCCCAAAAATATACACTGAAACCATAATCCCTCATACTTTAGAAAGTTATCTTATTTAGAAACAGGGTCTTGACAGAGATGATCAAATTAAAATAAAGTCATTAAGATGGGCCTGAATCTAATATGACTAATGTCCTTATAAAAAGGGGAAATTTGGACACAGAGACAGATATGCACCCAGGCAGAATATCATGTGAAGATTGGAGTTATGCTGCCCCAAGCAACGGAACTATTTGAAGCTAGGGAAGAGGCCTGGAACATATCAAATTCAGATAGAAAAACATGCCTAACAAAGGTGCTTCAATCTTACTTACACAAAGGTTATGCTCTGAAAGTTCATTTACAGGAATGCTAAGACTATAATCAATTTCCCATACTGACATGGGGATTTGGTTTCCAGGCCTGTATTCAAAAGTCTATCTAACCTCTCATTCAAGTGAACTATCCTCATAAGCAGTCGAGATACAATATTTTTTTAAAGTTTTAATGATGATTCAGTTAGAAACACATTTTATATCACGACAGTATACATACATATAAATCAGATATAAATTTCACAAAAATTATTCTTAGTTTGCTGGGATATTTTCTATTTCGTTATTAATATTGGTCACATCCTGCTAAATTGGCTTTATGACCACTAATAGGTCATGACCCACAGAATTAAAAAATACTGTTCTAGAACACTATGCTAAATACACATCTCCCTTGCTTGCTATATAATGCACACTGAATGAATGCTGATGAATTAAGATCTATGTTCTCACAAGACAAAGGGAAAAAACTATTTCTTTCTCTGTCCTACTGCCAAAATCAGCTCTGGACCAAAGAAGTACAGATTTTGCTGAGTGTAGATGGTAAAGAAAAGCAGAGAGAAAATGGGTCTGGATATGCCCAGTAGTGGGCATGATGACGTAGTTGTGGAAGGCCAGGAGGAGCTGACAGAATATCTCCAAATCTCTCTTAAATAGTCTTTCCCTAGTTACACCACAGGACGGTGTCAAGAATGAGACTCAGAGAGACAGTGAAGGACATCATTTTGCATAGGACATGGCCTCCATGGCTCTTCCTTATTTGTACGACTGTGGCATTCTTTATCACCTATTCTGTCTTCTAGAATCAAAGAAATATTATACTTACAGAAAACTAAGGATCATCTCATTCCATTTCAATCCTACCTACTCAGCTAGTGCCAGCTCTGAATGCCCTTCTGATTAACAGCTTGCAATGTCTAAGAAATTGCATGGAGGTAGGGGTATGTGCATGTGGGGGGAAAAGGAACAGAGTTCTTAAGTGGGGGGTGGGAAGAGGAGTTGCTTTACCTTCCATTTGTTTTGCATCTCTTTCTACAGCTAGAAGGTGAAAAGTGAACCATGACTGCCTGCTGATTGACTGACAGTGCACTTCTCAGGGAATCCTCGCTGAGACATGTGTAGAAGTCACAGAATAGAATCTTATTCTTGTTATAGTATTTACATTGTGTTTATAAGCCAACTGTTTTCCTTAACGACTTTTATCCCTGCTATAGTTTAAATGTGTCTCCCAAAGTTTATGTGTTAGAAACTTAATTCCCAATGAAACAGTGTTGAGAGGTGGAACCTTTAAGAGGTGATTACTTAATAAGGGCTCTGCCCTCAAGAATGGATTAATGCTGTTATTGTGGGAGTGGGTTGGTTAGTATGGGAGTAGGTTCCTGGTAAAAGGATGAGTTTGACACTCTCCCCCCTGCTCATTGAGTTCACTGTGTTGCCCTTCTGCCTTCTGCCACAGGATGACAGAGCTAGAAGGCCCTTGTCAGATATGAGACCTTTGAGCTTGGACTTCCCAGCCTCCAGAACTGTAAGAAATAAGTCTCTGTTCATTATAAATTATCCAGCCCATGGTATTCTGTTTTAGTGGCACAAAATGGACTAAGACAATCTCTTACCTCCATATTTGATCAATTACCAAATTGTACGGATTATGTCTCAAAAAAAGGATGTGTCTCTTGAGTCAGATCTCTCCTTTCCATTTCCACTGTATTAGTCTTTCACAGGGGCAATACTATTTCCTTGTTTTCCACACTAGTTCGTCCTTAGCCTCTCCTACTTCCCCACTGCATTTGGGATAAAAATCCAAATGCCTAAATCTGGCACATGAAGTCCCTCCCAATTGCAACCCAACATATCTCTACAAACCTCATTGCACTTTTGCAACTCTTTCCATTTGTACATGTTGTTCTTTCTACCTTAAATCCTTTCTCCACCTCTCTCTGCCTGGTAAATACTTCATCTCTCAGTTCAAGTGTCATCTAATCTGGGAAGCCATCTCTAGCACCCTGGAGAGGGAGTTGCTTCTTCCTCCAGGCTTCAAGACACTTTGTTCATAGCTATAACCGAGTGCTTAGCACATAACACTGAAATTCATGAGCTCAGAGGCTTGTCTCATTTCCAGATTTGTTGTTATCTTTGTAACAACAGCACCTAGCTAGGTACCAAGAACACTGCATGTGCTTAGTAAATGGCTCTTGAATAAAATCACTATCATCAAGATTTTGCTGAGTGCTTGCAGTAGTGTTTGATTAAATATTTTGAAAACATACTGTTTATAATTTGTAAAACTAATTTTGCCTAGGAGCATTCTCTGATATCTGTACATTGATTATTTTAAATTTTCTTTTTCCCATCTATTCAAAACTTAATGAATCTTCAGCTGTGCCATGGGTTTTCTCCCATCCTTACTTAAAGAAAATCATTTCTTTTTTCCAACTGCACAATAAGAGGTGGGAGCTTTGCCATTATGCCCATAATTTTAACACTGTACTCTTTGTGGTATACAGAGAACCCAGAAAATGATATGTTCGGGCAAGGTAATGTTTGAGTATGGCCTTGCCACACACTATATCTGTTTGTTCTGGCTTGAGAGTAGGGGAAAAAAAATTATTTCACTTCACGCCAAACACAAAGATTGTTTGAGGTTTGAAGAAATTTTGGGCAGCTGGAAGCTTTCATTTGTCTTTAAGATCTTGTTCAGAAAAGTGATGTTTATCATTATTATAAACATAAAAACATTGTCTTAGGGAGGCAGTAATTTAGAACGTAAAATACAGTAACGTTCTTTGGGGGGATGAAATTAGTTGATGAGAAAATATTTTTATAACATTAGTAAATAAAGTATTTTCAAATCTTTAGTCACTGAAACAAAATCAAAACAATATGGGGATACCTGTAGAAGGAAAGAAGGAAAAAGAAAATTGTTTTTGCTAACTTCTTTCAATTATTACCTTATTGCAAATTTATTAAGGGTTTGTTAACACAGTTTTAACAGACACATAATTTCCCAAACTGTTAACTCTGAATGTGGAATTCTTGAGACAAAGATGTGCAGAAGGCATGCAAATTATCCTGTCATCCTCTCCCGAACACCCCTCACCTCAGCCAGAGGAGGACTGTGCACAGAAAAATGGGTCAAGGCTTGTTTCTGACATCATCTTGACTTTCCGCTGCTTTTTAGGATGATGAGCAGCAACTGGAAAGTGAATGAAGGTTTGATGTCAACCTACACCTAGACTTTGGGCGCTTCCACAACCACGGGCAGGTGCTCATATGAGAACATTTTCTGAGTGTATTAGAATCCATGATCGATACACAGGCTAAGAAAACACAATCCCAACTTTCACGGAATTTACAGGCTAGCAGAGAAATGGAAACCTGAAATTTGATTATTATAAAAAAAGGATACATAACTACCATTGATTGAGAGCTCACCATAAAAAGCCAGGCTTTGTACAAAGCGTTTACGTGCATTATCTCATTCAATCCTCAAAGACATCATGGAGGAAGGAATTACTAACCAGATTTTTCAGATAAGAAGAACAAGTTTTAGAAAGGTTAATTAACAGGCTGAAGGCCATAGAGGCAGTCAACGGCTGAGGTTCCAATCCAAGTCTGAAGTCAGAGCTCCAGCCCTTCCACTCTGAAGCACTATGCAGTCTGGCAGATTAGCTGAGGCTCAGTTAGATAAGCCACACAGGGAGTGAATTTTGAGGGTCACGTAGGCATTTTTTTGGGAGAAAGATAATGCACAGGAGGAGAACTATGAGAGAGACAGAGAGAGAGAGAAGAGAGAATGTGCTTGGAAAGCATGGGAGAATTAATAACTCGGCAGGTGTGGCAATTGAGGGAGTTCAGCACCAGGGGCGCAGCAGTGACCTGCCAGAAAGCTGACACTGGAGAAACAGGCAGGCTTTTGGGTTTCTATCAAATCAAGGAGTTGAAAAAGAGGAAAGTCACTTATAAAAATAAAACACAGGGTATCAATGGTCTACTCAGGCCAGCATTTAGTTTCTAATTTTAGTTTCAAGAGTTATTTTAACCTAGACAGCGAAATTATTTCTTTTTATAATCATTTTGCTGACTGCAAAATACTGGTATCTATTATGTTTTTTTCTAAACGCTTAATTTTTTTCTCTAGCCTTTCAGTTCCATTCCTTTAATATGATCTGAGTAAAGCAGTTCAATTCTTTATTTTTATTTCTAGTAAGTTCAAGTTTTCTGAAGTCTTTTTTTTGGGGGGAGTGTGACAGGGTCTTAATCTGTCATCTAGGCTGGAGTACAGTGGCATGATCATACCTCACTGCAGCCTCAAACTCCTGGGCTAGAGTGACCCTCCTACCTCAGCTTGTAGGTAGGACTACAGGCATATGCCACCATGCACAGATAATTTTTAAAAAAAATTTTGTAGAGACAGAGTCTCACTATGTTGCTCAGGCTGGTCTCCAACTCCTGGTTTCCAGCGATCCTCCTGCCTCTGCCTACCAAAGCACTGGGATTACAGGTGTGTGCCACCGCACCCAGCTTCCCTGAGTTTTATTCTTAGATTTGATGAGAAGATACCATGTTTTCCTGAGCTTGGTCTTTAAAGGTATTATAAAACATATGTCTTAAACCACCCCCCCACCTCATTATTTTCACTTTGTTACTTAGGCACCTTAATTTTAAAGAGCAACTTCCGAGGCTTCTCCTATCTTATTTTTACCACCCCTGGCCCCACTATTTCCCATTAACATGTCTTTTCTCATGCAAAAACTAAAATCAATTTCCATATCTGGCTTTGGGATAATTTGCACAAGGGTTATAATGTACTATACTTTGGTTCTGGAGTCCGTTATTTGTTTAGCAACAATATTCTAAGTCTATACTTGATATCAGAAGTCAAATTTATTTCAGAGCTTATCTTAAAATGATGGTTTAAAATTTGAAAGGGATTTTAAATTTAGAAATACAGACAAATCTCTTTGCAAGAAAAGGACATAGATCAAAAGATTCATTTACAATTTTTAAAGTGTACTCATGTGTACTTGGTCAAAACAAAGTTCATCTGCCATTTTTATGTGTAAAAATGGACTTGTCATAATTTCCTTCAGTGTATCTCTATCAGCTAAGATATTGTGTGACCTGAAAATGTTTATTATAATCTGAAAACTTTAAAATATTTATTAGAAATTCAATCTTGAACTACGTTTATTTAGAAAAATTAAAGAAGGCTGAATGTAACATTGCTCTTAACATTTTCCATTGACAGATGTATGTTTATCCCTAGTGTATAAACTACTCAGTGTCTATGACAAAACATTCCTCCAAATACAAAATATTAATAGTTGCTATCTGTACTAGGAATAAGAGAATCCAAGTTCTTTTTCTAAAAAAAAAAAAGAAAGGTAAATTCAACTTTTTTGAATAAATCTTTATCTTAAAAAAACCAAAGTAGAATTAATTCCAGATAATTACAAAATAGTCTTTTATCCTCTCTATCATTATATAAGAAAAAAGAAGCAGAAGAGGAAACCTTCCTATTTCAATGTACATATAAAATAGGAACTTCATTTTCCTTAAACTGCATTAATGAATACAGTAACTCTGGGAAATAAACTAAAAACTATTTCCTCTTTCTCAAGGTAAATATCAAATACTCCGCAATGTAAACAGAAGTAGTGTTCCAAATTGTTTTTTCTTTGCACTACAGGAATGCTTATATAATAACTAAGGGTGAGTAAATTACTTGCAATTTTTTAGTATAAGAATATTCCTAGCAATTTATATGGAAAGCTTTAGAAATTATGTCGACAATAGTGTTCTGATATGCTTCCATTAAATTTCTCTGTAGTCTCCAATTCAGCAAGTATTTACTGAGTACCTGCTACGTGCCTAACATAAAAACAACTTAAGCTGCCCTGTCCCGAGTCACTTTTAATCTGTAGTGCAGTAAGTGTCTATATATTAGAGCTCAATGCTAATGGGAGGAAGGTCAGGAGTTCAGTTTCCTCTGCCAGTTAGCTAGTTTTTATCTTTTGAATGACAATAGACTCTTCCCTTTACTAAGCTTCTAATGGGGGAAAACTCCACTATTAATCCCAAATACATGCCATGATCATCAACTTCGTATACAAATGGCTATTCTTTAGACATGTGTGTAGAGTGTTTTCCATTTGTTTCTACATATGTCACTGAACAAGTCATTTTGTTTCCCTGTGTTTGAGTTCAGTCATCTGGAAAATGGAAGCTATAATTTAGATTATCTTTAGGGATCCGTTTGGCTCTAAAATAGAGTCTATATTTTCATAATTCTCAAAAGTTACTTTTGCATATGTTAATAGCAGCATTATTCATAACAGCCAAAAGGTGGAAATAACCCAAATGTCCATCAACTGATGAATGGATAAACGAAATTTGCTACATCCATATATCATAATATTATTCAGCCATAAAAAGGAATGAAGTATTGATACATGCCACAACATGGATGAATCTTGAAAACATTATACCAAGGGGAAGAAACTACTCACAAAAGATTACCTATGATATGATTACATGCAAACTGATGATATGATTACATGCAAACTGTACAACTCTGTGAATATACTCAAAACTATTGAATTGCATATTTGTATGATATGTGAATTATATCTCAATAAAGCTGTTAAAAAATTATTTCTATAGCCAAGCATGGTGGCTCATGCCTGTAATCCCAGCATTTTGGGAGGCTGAGGCGGGTAGATCACTTGAGGTCAGGAGTTTGAGACTAGCCTGGCCAACATGGTGAAACCTCGTCTCTACGAAAAATACAAAAATTAGCTGGGCATGGTGGTGCATGCCTGTACTCCCAGCTACTCAGGAGGGTGAGCCAGGGGAATTGCTTGAACCCAGGAGGCAGAGGTTGCAATGAGCCAAGATCGTGCCACTGCACTCCAGCCTAGGGGACAGAGCAAGACTCTGTCTCAAAAAAAAAAAAAAGTTATTTCTAGTTCTTCTTAAGGTAAGAATAAATAGTGCATTAAAAATGTTTAATACAGAACATACTATTCCATTGGGAATCCATTCTGCACCACAGACAAATGTAAGTTTCATAGGAAAAAATAGGGTGAAAGCTTTGAGAGTTTCAAGAAATTTGGTTCAATTCTATTTTCAACAGTACTTCCTGCAAACCATTCCAGAGGTCATCTTCCAATATTGATGCGATGAAATGCACTGCAATGATATAGCACTACCTGAACTGTGCTAAGCACTTTTGCATTGATGGAATTGAAACTGTATTGCAAGCATAAGAAGACAAAACTAAAAGAAAAGCAACATACCCTTTACATCTGAGTAGTTTCATCATTTACAAAACAAACAAAACAAAACCCACAAAACCAAAACTATCACTTTTTCTTTTTCTTGAGACAGAGTCTTCCACTGTCGCACAGACTGGAGTGCAGTGGCATGAACTCAGCTCACTGCAACCTCTAACTCCAGGGTTCAGGTGATTCTTGTGCCTCAGCCTCCCAAGTAGCTGGGATTACAGGAGCATGCCAGCACGCCCAGATAATTTTTTTTTTTGTTTTTCTTTTTGTATTTTTAGTAGAGACGGATTTCACCATGTTGGCCAGGCTGGTCTCAAACTCCTGACCTCCAGTGATCCCCCCCGGACTTGGCCTTCCAGAGTGCTGGGATTACAGACATGAACCACTGTGCCTAGTCCTATCACATTCTTTAACTCCAAAATCTCCCTCATAAAATAAGTACCTTGGGTGGTATCATCTCTTACAGACAATGAAAATGACCTGCTCAAATTCATATATGGCCAGCTAGCTGTCAGTGTCTATATATGTTTTCTGATGGCAAGTTTACCACTGGTTTGTACTGAATAGTTAACATCTTTACTTTTTCAGTGGTTTAGACAGGATGATCCTAAAATTTGAAAATATCCTCACCTTAGTTCATGTTATCTTCTTTATTTGGAGTAATTAGCAAATATTTGGGCTCCATGGGTAATTAAACCATCATGTGAGAACAGAGCCCACAGAGATCTTATTTGTTCTCACTGACAGTGATAAAGCATAAATTCAGACACACAACCCATAGGCACTGGCCCAGATTTAAAGTGAGGCAGCTTTTAACTCCCTCCCAGACTGTGTTTGTGGAGGGAGAGGGCAGTGCCAGGAGTGCTACCAGAGTGCCAACAAGTTAGGAAAAACAGAGACTTCTAGATAAATTAACTGAAAGGTGTCATCTCCACGAGCAGCAGAGGGCTCTCTAACACCACACAGAAACTCACAAGCTGGCCCAACATTACCTGGGTTCTTCCCTGGTGAACTCCCATACCATCCCCATGTTATCAACGTTTACGTTGGCAAAAGGATATTCTAAAGAGCGATGCTTAGGAAGAACTGATGAATTCTACTGATAAGAAGCTTCAGTGAAACTTTTAGATATTGGGTCACTAATACATGTTTATTAATCGTCTTTAAGTCTTTTTTGAAGAAGAGCCACTGCAATTTGGAATTATGATGTGCTTCACCATCATAAAACAAATATTCAATAATATACACTGGATATCATTATTTGCTACATGAAAAAAATAATTACATAGACATGATTGATTTCAGCTTCTCACTTTGGTAGACAAACCCAGGAAAGAACAGGATGCCAACACATGAAAGCAGATGTCAATGCACTGAAATCAAAGGAATCCACATCAATCATCAGCACTCACAGGTTCATAACTTCATCTCATCTGCCATCATTATTCCTTGTGGATATAAATTCAGTTAGTTTACTGGAAAGTTAGTCTAGCAAATTAAAATACTGCAATGAAAGTTGAGAGTTTTGTCATAGCTATGACTCAGAGTTAAAATTTTGTATCTTAGCCTGCTTGAGTCTTTCTATACATAAAATAGAGATCCTTACCTACATCCCCACAATACCTAAGGGGAAGAAAACTCAATGAAATATGAATTGTACAAAGAGCCTGTGGTACAAACTAGGCCTGAGATCTGACAAAACAGATTATCTCATTAGTGACAGAAGGTAAATTTAGTCACCTGAGAAAACTTATATTTCAATTCTTAGTTTAATATAGTTTCTCCCTCCCTTTATTTCTGATATTATTTTATTTTTCTCAAGGAACTTTTTCCGATGCTAAGAATATCCATATAAGTTGATACACTATGTTGAGTTTCATTATTAGCTATAAGTAGTATGTAAATATTTTAGTATTTTAAAAAATAACTGGGACTGTTTAATTATCTCAATAGAGATAGTTAATAAGATCCTGTCTTTAAGCCATGTAGTGAATCATTAAGAACTGAGGACTTTACAGAAGGTTGTAATTTAAACATTCAGCCTCTGCCATGTTTTTTCTAAAGATCATGAGTTTCTAAACAGCCAACTCCATCCTGGAAACTCTGCCAATAACATTCAGTAATAAACAGATAGCAAGACACATTTTATTTCATTTTTAGTTTTTGACCTTATCTGTCATTCTCATCTTGGCTACAGATTAGCAGTAACAACGTATCTTCTATACACTCTCACAATACGCTAAGAAAGGCTAAAGAGGCATTTATGAAAACTGTAAGTTAAGTAGACATTAGGGTACAAACATGCCCCTAATAAAATCACACACTTACACGGGGTTAAATAATACACAGGATAATATTATCCATCTAGGCACATCTCTATTATTACTATGCTAATCATACTGTGTATTACTGAATTCACCACATGGTACTGTAATTGTCTGGTAATGTGTCTGCATCCTAACTAGCATGTGACCTCTTTGAAGGAGAGCTGTGTCTTAATTACCTTAGGATAACTGGCAGTACAGAGTAGTGTTCAGTCAAAGAGAAAATATTAAACAACACTCTAAGTATGTTTTGTTTTAATAGGTAAAACTGACAATTTAGGAAATGAAAGCATCAATTATGAAAAAATCCTCACATAAGGTCAGATATTAAATATGCTATTTGGAGATGTTGAGTAGTATAATGCTAGATTCCTATATATGCCAGCTGTCACTAGCTTTATAAGCGCTATAATCATTAACTAGAATTTAGATCAGTGTTTCTCTACGAGTGGACCATCTGCATTAGATTTAGGAAGCTTGTTAAAATGCAGATGCTCTCTCTGCTACCTCCAGATTTGGATGCAGTGAGTCTAGGGAAGGAGGGCAACAGGAAGGATTTGATTTGAAAAATAAGTTCCTTAGGTAATTCTCATGCACTCAAAGTATGAGAAGCATTGAACTCTCTGCTAAATACAAACAGTGAGCATGAATTTCTTTAGCTGCTATTTAAAGCTATTCTTTTACACATCCAATTTCAATGTAGTTTCTATCCCTTGGTGCTCTTAAACAGAATGGAACAAAGCACTCCTTCCAAGAATACTGCTAAGGCTCTGGAACCTTCCTGCTTCAGGCCCATAACGGTGGGGAGAGTCCGCAATAGTCATCATTACCACGAGAGTCACAGAAATCAATAGCCAAAGATACCAAACTGGGATTTGAAGAAACAATTACACGTAAGGGCGGGAAAGTTTTCTACACAAATGCTTAAATTCACAAGGCACGCTTAACAAAGACAACCGCACAAACCTGGTCTTTACCTTCAGGAGGTTTATAACCAAAGGTAGGTACAGGCTGGCAGTAAAGATTGCAGGGAAATCAGTCAAATTAAACTCTAAGAGCTGGGTAAACATTGCGGCAGTGAATGCACGTAACAGCGCTCTTCAGAATGGTAATGCAAAGAAACAAAAGTAGCAACTCAACATTCTTGAATGCAAATTCAAATTATTCCTGCATTTATTCCTACTAGGTTCATTAATCATGACTAAAAATACAAAATAATTTACAGGAAATAATGATGGTTTTATTTTAGCTTTAATCGTTTTGATTGCCTAAACAATGTTTTAACAGTATAAAGATCTATTTTCTTCTTAACAATTATTAGAGCATCACATGGCTGGCTATTAGAGTTCAGTAGTAGCCAATATTCTTATCTAGAATACAATTCGCTTAAAACCCTTAAGAACTGATGTCATTATAAGGGGAAAAATGTCTCCAACTTTAAAGTTGGAAACCAAATCAAGACTCCACAAAGTGTTTTAGTCTCTCACAAGCTTTAAGCATGTGGACATTTTCACTGAGTTCACGTAGAAAAATTTTAGATATATTTGTAAACCACTTTCTGCTCCCTTGGATTCTTAATTTTTACAAAAGGAACTCTTTGGACACCCCCATCAGGTTCCCATGACAGTGTCCTTGTTAGTACAGTGAAGGAAAAATGACTATACTGTTTTATCTCACTGTAAGTATCTGTAGAAACCATTTTGCAAATAAGCAATGTTTTAAAGCTTATTTTTCATTGCTAAAACAAAAACATTCACTGAAATATTTGTGGCATGGTTTTTAAAAATGAAATTAGTTTTTGTCTAGTTTTTTTTATCCTTAAATAAACCACATTTACTATTTGATTTAAAATTTTTTTTTTACTAATAAAACCTTCTATAGTTTTCCTAAATGAAACATTTCTATGGAATGAAATGCCACTGCATGTAAAGCAGTTGAAGTTGAAATAGGACAATATGATTAGCAAAGGTAATGTTTAAAATCCTAAAATGTGACCTTGGGCAGCCCTGAGGCCCTCTCCATGCCTACATTCTTCACTTCTTAGTTCACAACAGTGTTCTTTTTCATAAGACCCTTTGTTTAAATTTACCTTTCTCTGCTTTGGTATAACTCCTTCGCCTCCCCCCAGACCCACAATCTATATTATAATCACGAAGGAACAAAAACAGTCTTGCACTCAATCATTCTTACTAAGCAGTTTTAAAAAATGCTATTTGTGTAATAAATCTGTCTGGAATTATTGAAGGGGAAATGTTATCCTTAACATTTATTCTCACATATTATGATGTACTTATTCATGGAAAATCCTTGCCTAGATCTGAACTCCAGAAGAGAAGAATCTTGTGATGCATTTTAAAAGGTCTTCAGCCTATCAACATCCTTTAAAATAGCCTTAGCAGGAACACTGCTAAGAAGCGGATTCAGTTTTTATTATAAACTCGCTCATTATACTTCTCAGTCCATGTTTTTCTTCAGATTTCAAAGGTATTTTCTTATATTCATTTCCATTCAGAGAAGGATATAACTAAATACAACAATCAAGTGAAAAAGATAAGTTGGGCAAAATGTCAGTAAAAGAGCAGTATAATATTTAATTTTTTCTGTTCTTAGGGAGGAACCATATGTACAACGGACTCTACACACTTTGCAGCATGTTACTAAAAGATGCCAAGTACTGGCAAAGTTATATGGCTTGATACAACTCAAAAAATACATAGCAGAATAAAATAAAATAGGAAAATACTACCTTTGCAGAGGCATGATTTCACAAGCCATTCTCGTATGTAAATTTGCAAGGGAATCTCACAACTGTCTCTTCCACGGCAAGTTTGGTCGTCTGTACAGTGAACGTCTTCTTACAGTGGCTAAGCTGGGTTGGGGGCATGAGGCTGCACCGCACGGCTGGAGAAACAACTTGCTCTGCAGTTGGCCAGTCTACTGCTGCTCTCAGCCTCCAAACTTCTTCAGGCAATGCTATTTTATCGGCTGCTTCTCTACATTTACACTGCAGTCCACTTTGACCTTTTGTTCCAGGGAAGCAGCTGAACCACCGGGCCAATCAGAGCAGCAGCTGCTGCAGCACTAAAGGCGCTCCTCCTCCTCCCCCGCACCCTACTCCTTCTGCTCCTCAATGGTCCCTCCTCCTCCTCTTCCTCCTCCTCCTTCTCTCCTCCTGCTCCTGCTCCTCAGTGGGCTTGCCTAGTTCTGGTAACTTGAAACTTTCCTCTGAGCAGTTCCACAGACAAGATTTTCAGTCTGGGGCAAGCAACCAATAACTGCAGCAAGAGCCAAGAGTCCTGTACTTCTCAACATTACAGAGACTGCCAGCAAGGATTCCATTTGTCAAGGAAAGACACTGCCCACGAAACTAAAGGTTTCTGTAGCAGAAGGCAAGAGTTATGTTGCGTCCCCTTTCTTCCTTAAAACAAAACAAAACGAAACAAAAACACTAGCCTTGAAAGGAGTGAGACTTTTCTAGAAGGAAAGCATGCCTCTAGACCCTTGCCCTACCCACATGTATTTCCTGCTGATGTTTGTTTACACTGCGGTGGTTACTAGTCGCTGGTGACATCACCCAGCGCACGTAGCTCCACTTCTGGGGAGGATACGTGCCCTAAGTCTCTGCCCAAGTTCTTAAGGGATCAGAATCCACTCTAATGAAAATTGTTTCAACTTACTATTTCTGCATTTTATTCTTATAAAACTGAATGTGTTTACACAGTTATTTTTCTCCATGAACATCAACAGCATTTTGGGGGGGTTGCTTTTTATTTTTATTTTTTTTTATAGGTAACACAAAATCAGTTTTTCCATAAAGTCTTCTAAATATTTGTTAATTATCACCTTCCCCTTATAATTTCTTCTTTGGTGTAGAATACCAGGGTGTTATTTTTAGGAACATAAATCCTAATCCATAGATTTTATACATTTTAAGAAAAATAGCAGAAATATATTTACATGATATTTTTTTCACATCATGAGTTGTAAAAAATTACAACATAGTCCAGACCATCACTTCTAGTAGTAGAAGGAACATGACATTCAGAAACAGTGAGGGCTTGTAGGCATGAGGTATCCCCTTCCCCTGTAATTTTTCCCCAATTTTATATAGATCACTCATAATTCTGAATTTAGAACACAAGGTCCTATTTATTATAAGACATCTGCTTTTCTTTGCTATACCTGCTAATAAAAACATTTTCATTGTCTGACTAAATAATCTGTGTTTATGAAAATAGATTTGCCATCCTAAAACTATCATCATACATAATGATAAACTATCAGTAACTAAAATCAGCCTTTTAAAACAAAAGGAGTTGATTTAACCCCAAACTTATTTCAACTGAAATTGTCTATACTTTTTTGATTCTAGATTTACAAATTCTAATTTGATTTTCTAGTAACATAACTTAGTTCCATATATTTCCATACCATTTTTATTTTAAAAAATCACTTTAACTCTTGCTTAACACTTTATTATTTATTTATTTATTTTTGAGATGGAGTCTTGCTCTGTCACCCAGGCTGGAGTGCTGTGGCACAATCTTGGCTCACTGCAACCTCCGCCTCCTGGGTTCAAGCGATTCTCCTTCCTCAGCCTCCCGAGTAGCTGGAATTACAGGCGCCCGCCACCATGACTGGCTAATTTTTGTGGTTTTAGTAGAGATGGGGTTTTACCATATTGGCCAGGCTGGTCTCGAACTCCTGACCTCAGGTGATCCGCCCACCTCGGCCTCCCAAAGTGCTGGGATTACTGGCTTAAGCTTAACACTTTAAATAGCTGCTTGAGGTAGAAAATCACAATTATACATCATAATATCTATTTTATTGATGAGTAAACTTGGTACTAGAAAATAACCTGTTCAAATTTACATGGAAAGGTAGTGGCAGAACAGAACCTGGAATCGGAATTTCTCCTGTCTATTCTGGAACTCGCTGCTATATAGAGGAATTGTGGAACCACAGTGCTGACTCTATTCTGTGTGAATTTTTTTTTTTGGGGGGGGGATGGAATCTTGCTCTGTCACCCAGGCTGGAGTGCAGTGGCGTGATCTCGGCTCACTGCAATCTCCACCTCCCAGGTTCAAGTGATTCTCCTGTCTTAGCCTCCTGAGTAGCTGGGATTACAGGTGCTCGCCACCATGCCCCCCCTAATTTTTGTATTTTTAGTAGAGATGGGGTTTCACCATGTTGGTCAGGCTGGTCTCGAACTCCTGACCTCAAATGATCCACCTGCCTCAGCCTCCCAAAGTGCTGAGATTACAGGCGGAGCCACTACGCCTGGCATGAACGTTTTAAATATCTTATACAAATATTTTCAGAAATAGTTAATATTCAAGTGACAGAAATATTATTTTGTCCTTTCTGAATTTTATGAACACATTAATACTACCTGGCTAAAATAGACATAAAAGCTCAATAATAAAGGACCCAGCATTAAAAAAAATGTTAAGTTGAACTACAACACTCAATACATTCAAAATATGTTAAACTGAATTGCAATTTACATTTAATATTAGATTTCACATATATTTCCTAATAAATTAAGTTGCCCTATCAACATTCCTCTAACATGCCACATTACATAAAATGTCAATTTTTTTAAAAAAATTAATTAATGCTATAACTCAATAACTACATGCTTTTTCCAGTCTCCATCATTTATAACAATTCCTCCTTTTTATGGTTTTTGATCTATTTTGGGGGCATTATTTGATAATTGTTTCTGAATTTGTACCTGATTGCAGCCCCTTCTCTCTACCCCAGCCACTGCCAGAGTTCTTGATCACTTAAATACTTTTCTTATTTCTATTTCTAACATCCTCTTGTCAGTGCATAGTCAGGGAGTGGGAGTGCCATTCATGACCTCTGTCACTTCTAATTTTTCAAACACGGTATTTCAACTGCATTTCCCTGGCTACATTTCCCTTTCACTGAGCCCCTTAATGTGCATCCCTCTTAACCCCCACTACTTCTCCCTCTCCCATTCCTCTGCCTTTTCACTTAGCTCTCTGTTCAACTCCAACTGTTTTGTGATGTCCACAGAGGATAGCCTGCAATCATACCAACTGGCACGTAGGATTAAAAAAAAAAAAAAAAAAACCATTCCTGACCCTCCTGAGCATTTAGTTATTTCTAAAATGGGTTCCCTAGCATCTTCCACTTCTTCCCCCTTTATAAGTCCTGCCATCTGGGCTGTCTATTGCCAGAGTGCTAACGATTGCAAAAGAAAATCTCATAACTTGGTAACTAGTTATACTAAAAATTCGTAATACTTAAACTTAGTTTGAACCACAATACTGTGTTACAACCTTTTTTATTATCTTTGACTGTTCACTGCATTCCCGCTTCAAATCTTCTCCAGTGCCACAAAACAGAACCTCTCTCACTCACTAATTATTTCACCTGCCAATTGACTGAGAAAATCAAGATCATCAAATATAAGCGAGTGCCTTTGGTCTTCTCTGCTCCACCTACCACTCCTGTTCCCACTCCAGCACACATCTTGCCTCACTCTTTATGACGTCCTCTTGGTTTAGGAGAAAGGGTCCTCACATATAGGTCTCAAGCCTCTTATCTGTGTATTGGATCTCATCATTTTCTCCTTCCTCTGGAAGAAGCCTGGTCTCTCCTACATCTTGAATCTGCCCCTCGCTACTTGCTTCTCCTCCCTTCTGACAGGCAACCAAGTGAGTGTCCCTCAGTATTAGAAAGTGCTTCTCAGCAGTCCTACCCTCTGGTGCTGCAGAGCTATTTCCCTCTTCCTTCCCCACTTACAGACTTCCCCCAAATCTATCTCTGCTGCCTCCACTTCCTCATAAATTACTTATTCCTCCATCCCATGCCAATGGACTTCGACCTTTACCACTTTTCCAAAACTGCTTTTAGGGTCTTTTGACCACTAAATCCAAATGCCTTTTCTTAGATCCTCTCCTACTCTTGACTTTTCTGAAACACTCACCTTCAGTTTTCTGAAAGTCTTTGGTTCTCTGTGATCTTTCTTGGGAATTCACCAAACCTTCTTGATCAACATTCGCCTTTGATTTCATCTGTCTTTCCTCCTCGTTTAGCCCTGCCTCCAAGCCCAACACCATTCAATACACGCATTCAATAAATTGGGCGCTGCAATTACACCTCTGGGGGCTGGATCCTGACTTCACCCCTGACAGGCAGTGCAAACTTGGGCAGGTTGTTTAAAAGCTCTGAGGCTGCTCTGAGGAATAAATGAGGCCATGCATGTAAAATATATAGAATAGTGCCTGGCAAATAGTTAAGTGCTCAATAATTATTAGTATTATCAACCCAATCAAACATTCAAGACTTCATATTATCTGATCTCCAAATTTCTCTTCCTCCTGGCCCTTCTTGATAATGATGTAATTATTCCCTTTGTGAATCAGATTTAAACCATGAGTCATCTTTACTCCTCCCTCTCCTCTCCTACCCTCAACCAAATCTATTGATTGACCTGTCATGTTTCTTTAATCAATCTGCCTAGGTTATCTGTACTCTTAGGATAACGTTCAAAATATTCTTTCTGCCACCATAGCACACATTCCACTATTAGTCAACATCCTACCATGCTTGCGATTTGGTAACTCATTTTTGTACTCAAAAACTTCAATAGCTCCCAACTACCTCTTACATGAACCCCAATCCTTTTAATGTGATGATTAGAACATTCCACCTATTAACCCCAATTTGCCTCTCCAGTTCAGTTGCTTAAACCTCCCCTGAGGAAACAACTCCAGATATGCCTGGGTCACTATTTTCAAATCTGCCCTGAACTTTTCTATCCTAAATATTTGCTCATGCTGTTCCCTCTGTCTGGAATATTTTCCCATTTCATTCCCTTCAGGAAAAATCCTACCTATACTTTAGGTCTAGGCTAATTGAAAGAAATGTTTTTTTGTTTGTTTGTTTTTGAGACAGGGTCTCTCTCTGTTGTCCAGGCTGGAGTGTAATGGCAGGCACCATCACAACTCACTGCAGCCTTTACCTCCTGGGCTCAAGTGTGCCTCCCACCTCAGCCTCCTGAGTAGCTGAGACCACAGGCGCATGCTAAAATGCCTGGATAATTTATTTTTTGTAGAGATGAGGTTCTTACTATGTTGCCCAGGCTGGTCTTGAACTCCTGGGCTCAAGCAGTCTTCTCACCTTGGCCTCTCAAAGTGTTGGGATTACAGATGTGAGCCACTATGTTTGGCCAAAGAAATCTCTTGACCTTTTAAAGTCATACAGCCCTTTGTATCGATGATGATTTTTATCTTTTTTTCCTGTACAGTTTTATTATTATTTGAATCTGCTGTATATATTATCTTCCTTTTGGAATGAAAATTTTCCACAACAGGAACTGTATCTTTCCTGCAGCCCTGACACAGAACACTCAATAAGTGCAGAATGAATTAATGGATACATCAATTACTCTTCTATAGATTCTGAAGTATAGCTCCTTTTATTAGATTTAAACTTATCAAGCAATATTCTACCCACTTTTTAACACTTTCTACTGTAGGGCTACACATAAGATAAACTGGATGCCACATGTAGGTTCAAATGAAAAATAATACTAACAAATAACTGGCTTAAGGAATAAACTACCTGGGTTATATATTGATGTGCAATCACAGATGTGCTAAAAGTAAGATTCTATCCAAAACTTCTGAAATCTTTTAAGCATTCTACATTATCCAGTTTCTCCTAGGTTGTCAATTTCCTTTTACACGTTTTAGCTGGCTTGCAGATTTCTAATTTTCTTACATAACTTCTTCAGCAAATTCCAAGTGTTTGGCAATATCTGCATTTGCTCTTGTCCTATCAAGAGCAACAAAAACCATGTGGCTGTGTTTCTTTTAATTTCAACATCAAGTGAAAACAACCAAAGAACCAAGAACATTTCTTGGCCACAGTAATGTATTTTCAGATATTGTTTTAAAATCAGATAGGTTTATTTCCTAAGATATAATGATATATTAAAATAATTTATTTCTTACAAGTTTGATAAGAAGGTCCTTCTAGCCTAAGCAACATAGTGAGATCTCATCCCTACAAAAAAGAAAATTAGCAGGGTATGGTGGTATGTGCCTGTGATCTCAGCTTCTTGGGAGGCTGAGGTGGGAGGACTGCTTCAGCCCAGGAAGCTGAAGCTGCAGTGAGCCATGATTGTGCCACTGCACTCCAGCCTAGGTGACAGAGTGAGTCTCAGGCAAGAGTTCTTCCTCATATTCTTGTCAATCTTTGTAAAACACACTAAGGAGCAATGCCCTCCAAAAGATACATGGTATTTATAAATTGTAAGGACTAAATCTAACATGAGTTATTTAGAATCATGAAGCCAAGATTTTTAGTGCATATACAATTTAGATATTCTGGTGTTGTTATACAAGCTCTTGAGTAAACTAGTTTTCCAGCAAACTGTGTTAAAACACTAGTGGATTTCTGGGCTTACAGGACAATATCATCATCATTACCAATAACAGCAAAATGTCAATAAAAAAGGGAGAAGAAACCAGAGGAGTGCGTGTAGGTAAAGCAGCAAGTATTTATTGTGAATTTATGCTGAGCTCATTTTAACAGATGTGGAAATGAAGAAGTCAATTAATGTGAATGCTCAGCTAGTAAGTGGCTGACATGGAGCCAGTATCTAAATGCCAGTGTCCATACCTTTTCCACCATTCAATAGCCCCTCAAGATAATAAAGTATTATCCTTACTGATATACATATTATTAGTTGGATATGGGAAATAAAGAATCCTTTCTTCTCACCTGAGGTTTATATTTATATGTGTGTGTGCGCATATATATATTCAATAATGGCTACACAGTCTTACATAATGGCTGTCTGAACACTGAGGCATACACTGGACCATAACAAACTTCTTCTGCTACTGAGTGGCAGGAGACAGTTGAAGTGGGGGAAGGATGTGGTGCAGGTGGGGTGTTAGAGGAAAGAGGAAGGTGCAAAGAAAAAACAGATGGAAAATCAAGTTTTAAATTGTATTCTTGATTGTATTCCTCTTTAAAAAACTAATGTATGGAAATAACAGGTGGTATGTGAGTTGTTTTATGTAAGGAAGCTCAAGTATTTCTTAAGGAATAATTACAAAACCATATAAAAAGCTTGTTTTAGAAAGCAAACAGTGATACTCAAGCTGAGGCTAATAGGAATAATGGATTTCTAGTTAGGTACTACTATTTTCTTGAGTAACAGTGAAATAAATATGCTTGCATTACTGAAGGCCAAAATAAAAACAATAAAATCATCATAATTTAATGTGTTTCCTCATTTATTTATTAGATTTATCCAGTCTATATAAGATTGCAAAAGAAAAATATCCCATAGAGATAGAAATTATATCATTGTTTTTCCAAAGATGCCCCTCTTTAATTCTGATGATGTATCTTGCTTTTAAAAGTGATACGGGCTTACTTCATTAAAATCTATCTGAGTAGGCTTGCTGGACTCCCAAATGGCTCACAGTGTTCATTCATTTGGATTCTAAAATCTTGTCAAGCTGTCAGTGAAGAGGGGAGGGAAGAGCTGCTAAGAGAGGTGGGGTTTAAAGGCCTCCACAGCTGGAAGTACATGATTCAGGGTTCCCTTCTTCACCAACGAACTGGCTCCAACATTTCAAACACAGAAAATAAGATTCAAAACATTCCCCAAAAAGATTAAGTACTGATTTCAAATCAAAAGACAAGCAGTTATTCATGGTACATGAAGTAGCAAAGTTGTATAGAAATTCATGTGGATGCTTTTTTTTTTTTAAGTGAATTTCTTGTAAGAACTGAGGGACTATAAAATTATCCATAAAAAGTGGTTAAAAATAAAATTTTCGAGACAACTTATGTAATTGTTCCTCAACTTTCTGGGACAGGGAAAAATCCACAGTTTTGCCAGATGGACTTTCAGTTAGTGATTATTGCCAATAAATAAGTGCTTCAAGCACATTTTCCTGGAATGGGACTCTCTGGGCATGACTTTCTCCAAATCTCCCGTGGGAGTCCGGATAATAGTGTTTCTGTTCTCATAAAATAAGTCATGTCCCACACAACAGCTGCTACCACACCTGAGATCAGCTGCCTTAAATTGTCCCCTTGAACTTTCACCTTGTTAAATGATATTTCCTGACAGCGGAGAAGCAGGCTTTAGCAGGGCTTCCTTAGAGACATGTCAAAATTATTTAGTGTGATATGGTAACTGACTGGCTGATTCTATGTCTATAAAACATAAAATAAACTCGTCATATTCCTGAGACATGAAATACCAAGCGCAAGCATAAAAATCTCTTAATGTCAATATACTGGCTGGTAAATAATTTGCTTTAACACCAAGTGAAGTGTTTTTATTTGAATTGACCCTGTAAATAAATAAGTGAAAATATATTTAAAATAAAAATAAGGGGAAGTAATAATTATTTGGGTTATCAAGAATAAGTCCAGGAATATAGCTAACAAGAGAAATGAAGGACCTCTTCAAGGAGAAGTACAAACCACTGCTCAAAGAAATCAGAAAGGACACAAACAAATGGAAAAACATCTCATGTTCATGGATAGGAAGAATCAGTATCGTGAAAATGGCCACACTGCCCAAAATAATTTATAGATTCAATACTATTCTCATTAAACTAACACTGACATTCTTCACAGAATTAGAATTTTTTTTTAAATTCATATGGAACCAAAGAAGACCCCAAATAGCCAAGACGATCTCAAGCAAAAAGAACAAAGCTGGAAGTATCACACTACCTGAGTTTATACTACAAGGCTGCAGTGACCAAAACAGCATGGTACTGGTACAAAAACAGACAAATAGACCAATGGAACAGAATAGAGAACTCAGAAATAACATTGCACACCTAAAACCGTCTGATCTTCAATAAACCTGACAAAAGCAAGCAATGGGGAAAGGACTCCCTATTTAATAAATGGTGCTGGGAGAACTGGCTAGCCATATGCAGAAAACTGAAACTGGACCCCTTCCTTATACCTTATACTAAAATTAACTCAAGATGGATTAAATATTTAAATGTAAAACCCAAAACTATAAAATCCCTAGAAGAAAATCTTGGCAATACCATTCAGGACATAGGCATGGGCGAAGATTTCATGATGAAAACACCAAAAGCAATTGCAACAAAAGCAAAAATTGACAAATGGGATCTAATTAAACTAAAGAGCTTCTGCACAGCAAAAGAAACTATCATCAGAGTGAACAGACAACCTACAGAATAGGAGAATATTTTTGCAATCTATCCAATTGACAAAGGTCTAATATTGAGTCTACGAGGAACTTAAACAAATTTACAAGAAAAAAACCAACCCCATTAAAAAGTGGGCAAGGACATGAACAGACACTACTCAAAAGAAGATGTTTATGTGGCCAACAAACATGAAAAAAAGCTCAACAGCACTCATCATTAGAGAAATGCAAATCAAAACCACAATGAGATACCATCTCATGCCAGTCAGAATAGTGATTATTAAAAAGTCAAGAAACAACAGAGGCTGGCAAGGTTAAGGAGAAAAAGGAACACTTTTACACTGTTGGTGGAAATGTAAACTAGTTCAACCATTGTGGAAGACAGTGTGGTGATTCCTCAAAGATCTAGAACAGAAATACCATTTGACTCAGCAATCCCATTAGTGGGTATATACACCCCAAAATATAAATCATTCTATTATAAAGATACATGCACATGTATGTTCACCACAGCACTATTCACAATAGCAAAGACATGGAATGAACCCAAATGCCCATCAATGATAGACTGGATAAAGAAAATGTGGTATACACACTCCATGGAATGCTATGCAGTCGTAAAAAGGAACAAGATCATGTCGTTTTTAGGCACATGGATGGAGCCAGAAGCCATTATCCATAGAAAACTAATGCAGAAACAGAAAATCAAATACCAAATGTTCTCACGTATAAGTGGGAGCTGAACGAAGAGAACACATGGACACTGGGAGCAGAACAACATACACTGGGGCCTGTTGGAGGGAGGGAGTGCATCAGGAAAAACAGCTAATGCACACGGGGCTTAATATGTAGGTGATGGGTTGACAGGTGCTGCAAACCACCATGGCATACGTTTACCTATATAAACCTGCACACCCTGCACATGTACCCGGAACTTAAAAAACAAATAAGTAATGAATAGCACCTCAGTGAGTTAAAGCCTTCTGCCTTATTTTGTTCATTAAACATTTTCTTTTGAAAAATCAAAGTATTAAAAAAAGAATAGGTCCTATTTAAAAAACTACAGTATTAGTCCTTAAAGTGTCAAACTCTGACTGCATTTTAGATGATCTGATTTAAAAACAAAAATAAAAATGAAACAAAATATTTAAAAATTCCACATAAAAATCCAAGACTGAACATGGTGGCTCACGCCTGTAATCCCAGCACTTTAGGAGGCTGAGGCAGGTGGATCACCTGAGGTCAGGAGTTCAAGACCAGCCTGGTCAACATGGTGAAACCCCATCTCCACTAAAAATACAAAAACTAGCCAGGTGTGGTGGTGGGTGCCTGTAATCCCAGCTACTCGGAAGGCTGAGGGAGGAGAATCGCTTGAACCTGGGAAGCAGAGTTTGCAGTGAGCTGAGATCACGCCACTGCACTCCAGCCTGGGTGATAGAGTGAGACTCCGTCTTAAAAAAAAAATCCAATTTATTTAATTTATTAATTTAATTTAATTTTACGAGACAGAGTCTCACTGTGTCACCCAGGGCTCACTGAGACCTCCGTCTCCCAGACTCAAGCAATTCCCACCTCAGGCTCCCAAGTAGCTGGCTCTACAGGTGCACACCACCAGGCCTGGCTATTTTTTTTTTTTTTTTTTTTTTTTTTTACTTTTTTTTGTAGAGATAAGGTCTCACTATGTTGCCTAAGTTGGTCTCAAACTCCTTCACTCAAGTGGTCCTCCTGCCTCAGCCTCCCAAAGTGCTGGGATTATAGGCGTGAGCCGCCATGCCTGGCAAAAAAAAAAAAAATCCATTTCAGAAAATTAGACTCAGTGCATCAAATAATTGTTTGTATGTTTATATTATCTTTTCTTAGTGTCATTCATGTATAGAGCATTATTAGAATTTGAAACCAAAAATCTTTTTTTCCTCATTGAATTTTGGTGAGGAAATATGTAAGTGGAAAAAATAAAATTTCAAATTAATTAGGAAATAAGCTAGACATACATTAATGAAGCAAGCCAATAAAACTAGTGAATCCCCAAAAAAGCACTGAAATTAACTCACTATTTAAATAAAGAAAATGCATTGTACTAAGCATTTCACTATGCATATCAAAACATCATATTTTACACTCTAAATATATACAATAAAAATACTAAGTAGAAAAAAATGCATTAAAAACAAATGATAATTCCACAATAATTCTCCAAAATACTACTTTAAGAAGACAACTTTAAAACAAATCAATCCAATTTTAAAACTTTAAAAACAGCCTAGTGAAATAATTTTAACAACTGTAAATACCTCTGGAAATAATATCATCCTAGACTTCAAATCACTGTCTACAAAACAAATAGTACAGAATTTGGCCAAACCAAGTGATACCTGAATGAATACTTTGTTAATAAAAGTTTAAATGAAATACTATTATCTCTCTCTTCCTTCCCTGTCCATTAGTCTATTACCACCACTGTTCTCTTCCATTCCCCTTCACCCTCCCTTTCCCGCATTTAAATTTGTATTAACCTCTGCATTACAGCTTTTTTTTTCCTAGTGAATTTTACTTATTTTGGTCTTGTTCACCTTAAATTCAGATTGTACAGAATTGATCTCCCCAAATACTGCTTTAATCATGTCACAAAGCTTTGATTGCTTTTCATAGCCTACAATGTAAAATCTAAATTCCACACATGCTCAGCAGGCCTGGTATTCTCCTCCTCTACAGACACATACATGGACTGGGGGCCCAGCTGAATGAACCACTTTGCCCCCTATCGTGCCCTGCTTTCCCATCACTAGTTTTTGTTTAGGTCTTTCTCCTAGCCTGGAATATCCTCCCTAGCTCATACCCATCCATCAAAACAAAACTCATCCTTTCTCAGCTTCTCATGCCTATTCTGATTTGTCCATTCAGTGGATTTTCTCCTCCTGAATGACTGAAGTCACAATTGCAAGTCACAAAGCAGCTCAGTTGTCACTCTACATCAGTGGTCCTCAACCTTTTTGCCACCAGGGACTGGTTTAATGGAGGACAACTTTTCCACAGACTAGGGGGTGGGTAGTTTCAGGATGATTCAAGTGATTACATTTATTGTGCAGTTTATTTCTATTATTATTGCATTGTAATATATAGTGAAATAATTATACAATTCATCATAATGTAGAATCAGTGGGAGCCCTGAGTTTGTTATCCTGCAACTAGATTGTCCCATCTGGGGGAGATGGGAGACAGTGACAGATCATCAGGCATTAGATTCTCACAAGGAACGTGCAACCTAGATCCCTTGCATGTGTAGTTCCCAATAGGATTTGCATTCCTATTAGAATTTAATGCAGCTGTTGGTCTGACAGGAGGCAGAGCTCAAGCAGTAGTGCTAGTGATGGGGAGAGGCTGTAAATAAAGATGAGGCTTCACTCACTCACCTGCTGCTCACCTCCTAGTGTGGCCTGGTTCTTAATAGGCCATGGACCTGTACCAGTCCATGGCCTGGGGGTTGGGGACCCCTGCTCTATATAATTTCTCTGAAACATGACAATTAACACTTCCTCCTTGAAGCATCTGTCATCCATCCTTGACTTAAAACAAATTTTTTTTGCATTATAAATTATACAGTATATGTTCATTCTAGAAAAAATTTAAAAATATAGACAAGATTAAAGTTAAACACAATCCCATTGCTTCCATATCCAGTGTTTAACAAAATTCTATATTCTTTCATTGTAAAAAAATTCATACATAAAAGATAGGACAATGTGAATGTACTTAATACTACTGAACTGCATACTTAAAATGATTAAAATGGTAAATTTTATGTTATATATACATTACCACAATAAAAAAGATTATGCAATATGTATTGTTTTGTAACACTATTTTTCATTTAGTAGTCAGTAATACATTTCTATGACATTTCTAGTCCTTAAAAGTATTTTTAGTGGTTATACTGCATAGCAGAAATTCTCAAATTATGGCCCAAGTACCCTTGGAGGTTCTTGAGACTCTCTTGGGAGGATCTGCAAGGTATAAAAATTGTCATAGTAATACTAAGATGTCATCTACTTTTTTCACTCTGATTCATTTATGAATGTACAGTCAAGCTTTCTAAAATATGGCAACAGATTTAATGCAGAAGCAGATATGAGAATCCAGCTGTCTTCTATTAATATTAAGCCAGTTGTTAGAACTTGGCAAAAATGGAAAACAATGAGATCTTCTCACTCTTTTTCATTTAAAAAGTGTAGTTATATTTAATAAATGGTCCAGGTGCGGTGGCTCATGCCTGTAAATCCCAGAACTTTGGGAGGCTGAGACGGGTGGATCACCTGAGGTCGGGAGTTTGAGACCAGCCTGACCAACATGGTGAAACCCCGTCTCTACTAAAAATACAACAATTAGCCGGGCATGGTGGCGGGTGTTTGTAATCCCAGCTATTTGGGAGGCTGAGGCAGGAGAATCACTTGAACCCGGGAGGTGGAGGTTGCAGAGGGCCGAGATTGTGCCACTGCACTCCAGCCTTGGCGACAGAGTGAAACTCCATCTCAAGAAAAAAAAAAATTATGTTAAAATGATGATTATTTTTATTTTACTTTTTTGAAACGAAGTTTCACTCTTGTTGCCCAGGCTGGAGTGCAATGGCACGATCTCCACTCACCACAACCTCTGCCTCCAGGGTTTAAGTGATTCTCCTGCCTCAGCCTCCTGAGTAGCTGGGATTACAGGCATGCGCCACCATGCCTGGCTAATTTTGTATTTTTAGTAGAGACGAGGTTTCTCCCATGTTGGTCAGGCTGGTCTTGAACTCCAGACCTCAGGTGATCCACCCACCTCGGCCTCCCAAAGTGCTGGGATTACAAGTGTGAGCCACTGCGCCTGACCAAAATGATTATTTTTAAATAGTGATAAATACATATTAAAACTGTTTATTTTTCAGTTATATCTATATGTCAATAGATACAGCCCATATAAATGAAATTTCTTTGTGTTCTCAGTAACGTTTAAGAATATAGTCAGCCTTTGCCGGGCACGGTGGCTCACGCCTGTAATCCCACCACTTTGGGAGGCCGAGGTGGGCAGATCACCTGAGGTTGGGAGTTTGAGACCAGCCTGACTAACATGGAGAAAGCCCGTCTGTACTAAAAATACAAAAAAATTAGCCAGGTGTGGTGGCACATGCCTGTAATCCCAGCTACTTGGGAGGCTGAGGCAGGAGAATCGCTTGAGCCTGGGAGGCGGAGGTTGCGGTGAGCCGAGATGACACCATTGCACTCCAGCCTGGGCAACAAGAGGGAAACTCCGTCTCAAAAAAAAAAAAAAAAAAAAAGCAAAACAAAACAAAATTATGTTAAAATGATTATTTTTAAACAGTGATAAATACATATTAAAAGTCTTCCTTTTTCAGTTATATTTATATGTCAATAGATATAGCCCACATAAATGAAATTTCTTTGTGTTCTCAGTAACATTTAAGAATATAGTTGGCCTTTTGTGTCCATGGGTTCCACATCTATGGATTCAACCAACCTAAGATCAATAATATTTGGGAAAAAAAATGCTTCTTTATTGAACATGCACAGACTTTCTTTTCTTGTCATTATTCCCTAAACAATATAACTCTTTAAATAGCATTTACATTGTATTAGGTATTATAAGTAATCTAGAGATGATTTAAAGTATACAGGAAGATGTGCATAGGTTATATGCAAATATGTCATTTATATCAGGGACTTAAGTTGTCCATGAATTTCGGTACCCAAGGGAGGTCCTGAAACCTACCCCCAGGGATATACCTACGTATAACAATATACCAAAAGGGCTTGAAACAAAAGTTTTGAAGACTGCTATTGTGCAGCAAAATATAATTTGTAACAGCTTATTTTATGACTCCATATTATTAAGCACTGAATATGGAAAAGAAGTGCTAAAATAAAAGTGCCATGAACAAAAATCTTGAAGCTCTATCTTTCAGCACATTGAGAATGATATCTGTAGAATAATTTCCTAGGATAATTAATGAGTGTAAAAGAAAATACACATTTTGGCCGGGCACGGTGGCTCATGCCTGTAATCCCAGCACTTTGGGATGCCGAGGCGGGCGGATCACGAGGTCAGGAGATGGAGACCACGGTGAAATCCCGCCTCTATTAAAAACTACACAAAAATTAGCCGGGCGTGGTGGCGGGCGCCTGTAGTCCCAGCTACTCGGGAGGCTGAGGCAGGAGAATGGCGTGAACCCGGGAGGCGGAGCTTGCAGTGAGCCGAGATTGTGCCGCTGCACTCCAGCCTGGGCGACAGAGCAAGACTCCGTCTCAAAAAAAAAAAAGAAAAAGAAAAAGAAAATACACATTTTTAGCTGTTTGATAAATAATGACAAATTTCACTGCAGTACTTGCACTTTTACCTGCAGCTAGTGTTTATTTCCTTCTATGCTCATAAACATTGGAAGATGCAGCTCCTTATAGTTGCAGATTAAATTTCTCTGATTATTAGTGAGATTACACTTACTTCTACTATTGTGAATTTCCTGTTCACAGCATTTTTTCATTTTTCCCTTCTTTGTGTTTTTTTCATTGTTTTACTTGTGTTCTCTCTATATAAAGAATATTAAATGTTCTCTCTATATAATGCAAATACTCTTATCATCATGTTATTTATTTTGTTCCTGGGCTTTTGTTTTATTTTTGACATTCAGAATTCTAAAAATGTTATACTGTGAAACCTCTTTTTTTAACTCTACACTTAGAAACTCCTTTCCAGCTCCATTATAACATATATACCCATATTGTCTTCCAATACTTTTGCTATTTTATTTTTATGTTTAAATATGTAATCCACCTGGTATGGGTTATAGATCTAACAGCAATTATTTATAAAATAGCCTGTTAGCTATTCCAGATTTATAAAAATAAAAGCCAAACCTTATTTTTAAAAATAAAGCACACATCTATTTATTCATTCAACAAGTACTCTTTAAGGCAATAGAGTGTATAGAGGAGCAAATAAAATTGAAGTTCCTGCCTTTACGGAGCTTACAATCTCATGGAATAGACAGTCAATAGACAAAGGAAAAATATGTAAATTAGGGGTGTAAATTAGGAATTCTATTGTGTGTAGATTGAATGTGAGATGCTTGTTAAATATTGAAGTGGACTTGTTCAACTGGCAGGGGCATATAAGATGTGCAGTTTTGGCTGGGCACAGTGGCTCACGCCTGTAATCCCAATACTTTGGGAGGCTGAGGTGGGAGGATCACTTGAGGCCAGGAGTTTGAGACCAGCCTGGTCAACATAGTGAGACAAAACAAAAAAAGAAAAGTGCAGTCTCACAGAGCCCATACTCAGAAGGGCCCTATGCTTTGCTGTCAACATCTTAACATTTTTAATAATTGTTAAATCTGCCCCCCAACGTTGTCCTGGGGGGTGGAGGATGGGGAGAACAAATTAAGTAGCTGGTCTTGCCAACTGGATATAACTACCTGGAATATAATGAAGAGGCTAGAGCTAGAAGTATAATTTTTGGAGGCTTATGAGTAAAGATAGCGTTTAAAATCACAGAACTGAATGAAAGCACCCAGGAATGAGTATAGGTTGAGAGGACGTCAGAGGACTGAGATTTGGGTTCTCTAAATTTGAGAAGTCTCGAAAAGAAGAAAGCTTATACAAAAGAGACTAAGAAAAGATATCCAGGAAGGCCAGAGGAAAACCAGGAGACTGTAATGTTACATTAAGCAAAGTGAAGAAAGTGCTTCAAAAAGGAGTGATCAGTTGGGTCAAATAGTGCTGAGAGATAGAGTAAGATGAGAACAGTAGACTGACCTTTGGATTTGCCATGATAGAGGCTGTTGTTCTTAACAAGAACACATTAAGTGGTGTGTGGATTGAAGAATGAGAGGAAAGGATATAAAGACAGCAAGTACATACAATCCTTTATCAGAGATTTGCTCCAACGGAGAAGAGGAATATGGTTTCTAGAGAGGGATTACAAAAATGTTGAGAGTTATTTATTGCATATTTCTTTGCTGATGGGACTCATCTAGAAAAAATGGGGAAAGTGATGATATAAAGGATGGAGGTAGCCTCCAACATAGCCCTTGAGCGAGAGGGGATGAGACTCAGAGTACACATACAAGAATACATGTACGTGACTCTAGAGAGGTGCGGGTTCAGCTCATCCACTGTAATGGGAGAGAAGGCAGAGTATAAGGATGCAGATGTGAATATGTTGGCAGATTTGGGAGGTAGGAGGATAAGAGCAGTCTTTCCTGATTGCTGCTTGAAAAAAAATAGAAACCTCTGGACTGTGCTATTATATTTTGTAGATCTAAATCATGCTCATATCTCTATTGAATTGAAAGTTAATGTTCTCAGAAAATGAAGGTGGGAGGGAGAAGAGTGAGAATCCTAAATTAGTTTTTTGAAAAATTAGGTTCAGATTTTTGACAAGAGGGCCAAAACACCAATTCCATGGGAAAATAATATTCTTTTCAGCAAATGGTGCTGGGACAACTGGATATACACATGCAAAAGAATGAAACTAGACTCATACCATACAGCATATGTAAAAACTAACTCAAAATGGATCAAAGACCAAAATGGATCAAAGACCTAAATGGATCAAAGACCTAAATAAAACTATAAAACTCTTAGAAAAAAACTCAGATGTAAATCTTCATGATCTTACATTATGCAACAGTTTATTAGATGTGTCATCAACTTTATAAACAAGAAAATAATAGATTAATTGGACTTCATCAAAATTAAAAATTTTGTGCTTCAAAGGACACTATCAAAAATTTGAAAAGCAGGTACAGTGGCTCATGCCTGTAATCCCAGCACTTTGGGAGGCCTAGCTGGGCCAATCACAAGGTCAGGAGTTCAAGACCAGCCTGACCAACATGGTGAAACCCTGTCTTTACTAGAAATACAAAAATTAGCCAGGCATGGTGGCATGCGCCTGTAATCCCAGCTACTCAGGAGGCTGAGGCAGGAGAACCGTTTGAACCCGGGAGGCGGAGGTTGCAGTGAGCCGAGATCACGCCACTGCACTCCAGCCTGGGTGACAGAGTGAGACTCTGTCTCAAAAAAAAAAAAAAAAAAAAAATTGAAAAGACAACCCATAGAATATGAGAAAATATTTGCATATCATATATCTGATAAGGGTCTTATATCCAGAATAAAGAATTAACAGAGAATTTGATAAGACATTTATCTAAAGAAGATATAGTATTGGCCATTAAACACATGAAAAGATGTTCAACATCATTATTCATTGGGGCAATGCAAATCAAAACACAATGAGACATCGCTTCACATCCAGTAGGATGGCTATAATAAAAAAACAGATGGTAACAATTGTTGGTGAAGATGTAGTGAAACTGGAACCATCAAACATTGCTGAAAGGAATGCAAAATCAGGCAGCTGCTTTGTCATTCCTCAAAAAGTTAAACATAGAGTTAACATATGATTCAGCAATTCCACCCCTAGGCTTATACCCAAGAGAACTGAAAATATATGCCCGTACGAAGGCTTCTACAGAAATGTTCATCCTAGCATTATTCATAATAGCCAAAAAGTAGATCCAACCCAAATGTACGTCAACTAATGAGTGGATAAGCAAAATGTGGTTCATACATACAATGAAATATTTATTTATTCAGACATAAAAAGGAGTGAAGTACTGATACATGCTACAACATGGATGAGCCTTCAAAACATATGCTAAGTGAAAGAAGAGAGACACAAAAGAACACATACTATGTGATTCTATTTATATAAAATGTGCAAGAGTTAGAGGGAATTTCATAGACAAGAAGAAATTTAAACTGACTATTGACAAAGTGGGAGAAGGACACTCCAGATAAAAGGGAAAATGTTAGCAGAGATACGGAACTGTGAAACTACTGGGAAACATTTGAAATAATGTGGTTGTAATGTAGCTCAGATATAGAATGAAGAACCACAGAAGCGTAAACCAGGAAGGCAGGCTTAGCCAGATTTTTAAAGACCTTTGAAGACCTTGAACTTAATTCAACAAATCCTCTTTGCTTTTACATCACTTCTATTGTGCTGCTTTTAAACATCTTTCTATTATATATTATTGTTAATCACAAATAAGTTTGTCAAATTAATGGACTGGTAGACATCTAACAATACACTCCACACCTTAGTTATGTCTGGCCCCTCAGGGCCCAGCGCATATGTGCAGTACATAGATTGTGCCCAATAACAATCTGTTAACTTTGAATTACTAAAATAAATTCAGCTAAGATCACAGGAGTCCAGATATACTCTGTTGATCTAAATGCCACTAGAAATTATCTGAAGATATGACAATACATTTCTTTACCATTACTTATCTACCATTTCATCAACTACTCATACTGTAAACAGAATTAGAAAAAAAATTTAATTGAAGTTTGGATTCCAGTAAAATGTCAAAATTCAAGTAGTCATAGCAATTGTATTGAAGGGCAGATTTTTGTGAATGAGTAAAGAACAATTTGTTCTTTAATAATCAAAATACTGAGAGAAATATCGGAGACTTTCATTTGGAAAGGAGACTGAAATTAAGCCTAGAAAATATTTTACATAGATATTTCACTTATATGAAATAGTTTATCTAAGGCCTTGGGATATTTTTTCATGGGAGCTAGTGGCGGTCAAGAATAAATTACAAAATGGTCTGCATGCAAAGATAGAGTTAGATATTTCTTCTAATCCAGTTTGAGAGGTTGGGGCCCTTTTCGAGTCTACCTTTCAATACGTCTTTCTTATGAAAGCCAGAGAGTGGAAACATCTCAGGAAATGGCAGTTCTGCAGGGGAATTGCATGCTGAAGCGCACGCTGTGCTTGTCACAAGGCAGCCTGAGACACTCCCTCATTCATATGGGTGCTACTTTAGCTGCCCCCGCAGTCGGCTATGATATTTGGTAATTTTTCAAATTATATTGTACACGTGATTATAAATCTTGTATCTAAGAATCCTTGCTTCATTTCAGCTTCAGTAGTCAATTAAAAAATTCTGAAACTTGGCTCCAAGTAGCAGAGAGTGAAACACTGTAAGGGAACAAACACATGTTCAGGAAGTAATTGGAGTGCCCTTTATGAAGTGCAAACACAGGATAGTTATGACTGCATTTTTGCTGGCTGGACTTCAGAAATGAAGTCAGTCATATTTAATTGCAGATTAGATACCTTGAAGGGCAATGGTTACAGTTAATGTTGTTGAACACTGATTCATGATTAATATTGCTGAAAGTCTGATTCTCATGAAATGCACTATTGTAAGACAATATTAAATTATAAAGTGTTCTTTGACAAGTGTCACAAGGCACAAACTTTCTGCCACAAGTGCAGAGAGCTGCAGAGAAATGTTACGAGCCTTGTAAAACAATGAATTTCTCCCAGAGAGATGGACAGACATGCAACAAGATGGACAGCGATGATGTGGGGACAATGAGAGCGCACGGCTGTCCTGGCTTCTGTAGTATCTCTAAGGGTGGGCAGTACAGGGTTCCCTTGGGTCAGTACTTTCCAAGGACCTGAAGAGAGAAAACTGACACATTAAAAAATTATACTATTTTAGAGTCAGACTTCAATCTCTAACCTAGGTCTAGGTCAGCTAGATGAAGAAAGGTCAGTGTTCTCATCTGACGGTGGAATTCAAATTCAAATTGGGCACATGTAACAATATCACAATAGCAACTACGGCAGCAGCAACTGAGTACATGCCCCCTCAGTACTAGCGTGGACACAAAAGAGACCTTAGACACAGTCTCTCTTCTTCAGAAACTCATAATCAGGTTGGAAAGAAAATATAAACACATACTTTTTATGTGGGAAAGGAACTCAAGGTAGAAGTCAGGTAGGAAATAATAGTGAAATAATCACAGCCTGAAACTGTATTTAATCTCAGCCTGATTCTATAATAACTACATGATCTTGGATAATTCACCTAACTCAATAAATGTCTGTGAAATGAACAACCTTTTCAGAATCATGGGTTCTTCATCCAAGGTCATTTTGCAGATCTGACATTATTATTACAGGGCTGCCTGACAGAAGTGTGATATAGCCAAAAAATGTTATACATAGGATTATTATAATTTGTAAAGCAAATATCAAGACAAAATATGACACGTGATCGGATCATGAAGAGACTATCTGGAACCAAGATAGTCCTGGAAAGTGTGGGTTCTCTGATGGCTCTAGGTATGAGGAAAAGACAAGCATAGAGTTGGGGGAAAGACAGTTGGAGAGGCAGGTAGAGGGCAGGGCAAGCGGTTCCTTGTAGGCTAGGCACAAGAAAGCCATTATATAGTTCTGAGCAGGAGTGGAGTCTGTTTAAACTCCGTGTCTACAGAGATGGTAAGCGGTGAGGAAGCTATGGGGCCAAATAAAGACAGTGAGCAGTGAGGTTGTCAAAGAGCATTCTGGAGTTGGCTGGCTATGACTGGATGACAGGGGTAAGGAGTAGGGGAAGGGTTTGGGTTATCTGAGGGACTGGGAAGACAAGTCTGCTAGTTAGAGTGACATGAATGTGGCTCAGTAGAAAATTCTGAATGGGAAACACAGAACCAGAAGCCATCACATATAGAGTTAAGAGTTGAAGACAGAGGCACTGGAATAATTTGTGTGACAAAAATGAATCCAGTACATTAGTGGAATGGATAAAATATAATAATTATCTAACCACAAGGTGATGGAGACCTACATTAGGGTTGAGGATCACGAGGGAAAAAATGAGGAAAAGGATGTTGGAGACATTGAAAAAAAAACACTGACAAGGCTTGGTGACTGATGATAGAAAAGGTTTTGAGTCTGGTGGTCGGGAGAATGAAACACAGAACAAAGTTGAGAGGGAAAAATGAGAGTGAGTTCTGTTTGGGCATAGTGAGTTTAAGGTACATCCTGAAGTGGAGATTGTCTGGCAGCCACTGGAGAACTAGGACTGAGCTCAGGCCTGAGATACTGATTTCTTATTTTTTCCTTCTGTGACACTAGATTAGCCATGGAAGGAACAGCAGACAGACAGAGCAGACAGCCCAGGAAGGAGACTTTGAGGACGCTGCATTTTGGACAGAAGGGCGAGGGAAGGAACATCGCAGCAGGAGGAAGCAATACAGGAAATAGAATTTTCAAGAATCTGTGAAGCACCACAATACATTTACTATAATGAATTAAAAAAAATTGAAAAAATGTGTGAGATACATTCCTGGGGAAATCCATAGAGATAAGTCTGGAAGAACACATTATCAAACCTGTAATAGCAGTTACCCCTGGGGGAGAAAGGAGTGAATTAGAATCATGAAGCAAGAGAATCAAAGGGAACTTTAGCCATCAGTGATGTATCAAATTTTTTAAGAAGAATGTATTTTCTAAATAATGAAAAAGTATTGGGAAAAGGAATAAATAGATAAGAAAGTACTTTTAGAATAGAACAACTCTCATCTGAAACACACTGTCCCATGGTAAGATTTATTTTTAATATACATTGAAAAGTGATTTATTATGTTTCCCCCATTTATCTATCAAATTAAGAACACACCTGTAACATAAGCAGACATTTTCTTTATATATTCTTCATATTATTTTAGATAAATACTTGGCATAGTGGTAGCTATTTCTTTATTCTCATTATAGAAAATAAAAACATTTAATATTAATCTCTTTATGAGACAACCGAGTACAAAACTTTCATTAATTGTCAGCTTATCTATAGTACCTTGAAAGAAGGCCATGAAGTTCTGTTTACACTCAAACCTAATGACAATTTTCCTAGAATCACAGAGCTTGTCTTAATCCCAGTAGCAAACTGGTTAACTTTTCTGCTTACAAACAATGGAACTATGATTTTTTATGAAATTTCCAAGATGTTTCAGCTTCTTCTTTCTGTTTTAACATCTCCCCGAAATACCGATTACTTCAATAACTTTTGATGACAGTACAGTAAGCTACAAATTGGAATCCTGCCAGGATGAGAAAACAAAGAGCTTTTCCCCCTCTTCCTCTCCCTCCTTAGGAATCACCTTTCGTGAGAACCTGACCTTTATTCCTGCCACCATGCTCTGATGTAGTCAAAGAAAAGTATGAAGGATAAAAATCTCTTAAAATGTAACAAACATTAACTCTCTCTACAGACAGCATTGGCTTAATAACAATGGCTATATTTTAGCATTTCGTAATCAAGTGACATTCTTGTTAAAGCATATCCCTCCTCACTCCAACTTTGTTTGCATTTGTATTTGTTTAAACAGTATTATTGAGGTATATTTTACAAATCATAAAACCCACCTATTTCTACAATTCAGTGACTTTTAGTAACTTTACCAAGTGATATTACCATTTAAGACTAGGACAAATAATAAATTGTTAAGTAGAAGATTTGGAGAAAGATTTTGTGGGCTCTGTGTATTTTCCACACATGCACATTTATTTTTTAATTTAAAATATATGAACTAGCCAATAACTTGTTCTGGCAAGTAACTGCAAATGAAAAGAGCTTCATAATTTCATTTTTGAAATAAAAATATGATTACGTTATGTTACACTTTTAACATGATTTGGTTACTTCAAAGATATATAAAGGATTTAAAATTTATTTTTAATTATCTCCAATTATCTTTTGATAATTTGTCTCACAAGGAGGTAAATCAAATTAAAAAGTAAACATCTCTTCACAGATACAGTAGATCTATGGATAGAGACAGGAAGTTGAAAAAGTTTCTGTGTGATAGAGGTGGCCAGGTTAAACATGGATAATGTTGTTGTATCTAGACCTTTAAGGTTGTCTGGCTCTACTTTTAGAAACTAGAAAGTTGGGCTGGACATGGTGGTTCATGCCTGTAATCCCAGCACTTTGAGAGGCCAAGGTGGTTAGATTGGTGGATCGCTTGAGCTCAGGAAGTCAAGGCTGCAGTGAGCTGAGATTGCACCACTGCACTCTAGCCTGGGCAATATAGTTAAAGCCTGTCTTAAAAAACAAACAAACTAGAAAAAATATAAGAAATGTATAAATACAGCTATGCATTTGTTTTAACTGGGGATAATATATGCCAACCAGAAGAACAAATAGTTGCTACAGCAATGGCTAGCTGTTCCTTCTCTCCATAACCTCACTTCTTGATTTGTATCTCAGAAATACTGATTCATTCTCCAAAAGGAGAGTCTTGTTAACTTGGAAGCAGGAAACTTATTTTCATTTTCTGATTGGATGAATAAAAATTACATAAACAACAGGCCGGGTGCAGTGGCTCACGCCTGTAATCCCAGCACTTTGGGAGGCCGAGGCGGGTGGTTCAAGAGGTCAGGAGATTGCGACCATCCTGGCTAACACGGTGAAACCCCGTCTCTACTAAAAAAATACAAAAAAATTAGCTGGGCGTGGTGGCAGCCGCCTGTAGTCCCAGCTACTCAGGAGGCTGAGGCAGGAGAATGGCGTGAACCCAGGAGGCAGAGCTTGCAGTGAGCGGAGATTGCAGTGAGCAGAGATCGAGCCACTGCACTCCAGCCTGGGCAACTGAGTGAGACTCTGTCCCAAAAAAAAAAAAAATTACATAAACCACAAACATTTGAATTTTTCTTTTTACTATTTCACTTAAGGCATTTTTGACATAATTCTTTACAAGGTAATCTGGCAAAATAACATTGACACTAGCTCTTGTCACCTAGCCACTTGACTCTGATTTTAAAGAGGACCAGTATTTTGTATCTGTGCCCCTTACTCTTTTCCAACTGTTCCTCATTGGCCAAGGCTAATTCTTCTATTGCTTATGACCTTCTCTCTCCACCATGCAGAAGGTGTCCTGCCTAGCACTGTTTGTTCACATAAGCTATAATGTGGAAAGTGTCCTTGTGGTTGTACAGCGCTCAAGCTGCGTTACACAAGATATGGCCAGCTGGTCTCTGGATTCCCTCCTGTAGGTCCTTGTTCTATTACCTCCTGGCTTGCAACATCAGCTTCTCCTCTCCACTGGCTCTGCCCATTAAGCGTCTAAACGTGCCTACATTTGATTCATTAAAATATTTAAAAACCCCAGATGAAACACAATAAACACTGAAAAACTCCAACCCTTTCTGGACCAAGCCCTCCTGTAAGCAGTAGTCTATTCTCTCCCACACCTTCAAGGGACAAAGACTCATCCACACCTGCTCATTCTCAGTAAGTGACAATGACTTCGGGAAGGCTCTTACTTGCGCTGAATTGCTCCAAAGGCCTGCTTGCTGGTCTACCAGCACCTCTTACTTTCATCTTTCCTTGTTCCTTTCCTTTCCATGGTTGTCATGGGATCTTTGATAAGATACAAATGAATTTATATCATTTTTCTACTTATATTCCTAGAATTACTCCCTATTGTTTTCAAGAGAAAATCCAAATATGGGATATAGTTTTTCATGATCTGACCTATTTAGCTTAGTCTCTTAATTCACCTTTACCTTCCCCTACATTCTACATTGTAAACTGCAGATGTCCTGAATCCACTGCTACACTTGCAGTTCTCCCCCAAATTGTCCTCACTGCCCTGAACGTCCTCACATTTGTTGCTTTTTCTTCCAGGGGCACCCTTATCTCTATTTCCCTGCCTGATAAACTCATATGTGTTTTGTATTGTATTTGAATTGTATTTTATGTTTCTATGTATTTTGAATTGTATTTTATGTTTCTCAAGAGAAGCGCCTGAATCTTATTTATGATTTCAGTGTCTAGTACATAATAGGCATGTAGTAAATGTGTCTTTAAGGCAAATTATTGAATTTTCATTCATTCATCTTCTATCTCCCCAAGTGGGAGATTTACATCTTTCTAGTAAATGCCATATAACTAGATTTCAATAAAGATTAACACCTGTTGAAGGAACCAACACTGCAATTGCCTCCCAACTCTACCTCTTCTAATCTATCCTGCACACTGATGGAAGGTTACTTTTCCTAATATACTAACTCCCTATGGTATCTATCACCTCCCCTACCCAGCTCAAACTTTCATTGGCTTCGTATTACCTCTGGGATAAAATCGAGGTTCTCCTATTTCGGTTCTTTTGCATTTGCTATTATCTCTGCCTGGAATGCTCTTTCCTTGATTTTTACAGACTTTCTCCCCCTCCTTATGTCTCAGAACAAACTTTCCCTGACTACTCAAACTAAAATGATCTTTGCATCAGTCTATTAAACTGTTATAATTTCTTAATATCTTTCATTTATTAGAGCTGAAATCATCTTCCTCACAGTCTTTTTTTCTATCATCTCTCTCTATTGCTTTCCTTATTAGAATGTACGGTTCCTTAACACAGGGGCCTCGTTGGTTTTGTTCATTGCTCTGCATCTCCAGTCTTAAAGCAGTTCGTGGAACCAGAGGTTAACCACCCAAACATTTGTTCAACGAATGAAAGAATGAAAAAATACATGAACCAGGCATTCAAGGTCCTCTATGACCTGGCCTCACTCCACCTTTCCAGCCTTATCTCCAACTAATTCCAGTTTACAATTTCCAAAATACCTGTTATACCTCCTAAGTAAGCATATCTACAATACTCTTGTCTTCTTTCTCTTCCTATCTAAATTATCTTTATCATCTTCGCCATCTAAATTATCTTCATCAGATCCAGCCCAAATGCTATGTCTTCTATAAGGCAATACAAAGTGGCAAGCTCCTTAACTAAATTATTTCTCTGTTTAATGTCTTCTTTCAACTTCCTGGAGTATTTTTATTTTAAAAATAGGTTATAAGTTATAATAGAAGATATTATTAAAATGAAAATTATATAATTTCTGGAATTATAGTAATTCTAGTAGTAAATAAAATTCAAGCTAGTAGTAAATAAAATTCAAGCCCAAATTTACCTATTTTAAGAAAATTGTGGCCGGGCGTGGTGGCTCATGCCTGTAATCCCAGCACTTTGGGAGGCCGAGGTAGAGGGATCATTTGAGTTCAGGAATTCAAGACCAGCCTGACCAACAAGGTGAAACCCCATCTCTACTAAAAATACAAAAAAATTAGCCGGGCATGGTGGCACACACCTGTAGTCTTAGCTACTTGGGAGGCTGAGGCAGGATAATTGCTTGAATCCAGGAGGTGGAGGTTGCAGTGAGCCGAGATTGCGCCATTGCACTCCAGCCTGGGCAACACAGCGAGACTGTGTCTCAAAAAAAAAAATTGCAGTTTTTTTTCTTCGAGTATACCAGAGAAGTCTGCTTTCAGTTATAATGTGCAACATACTGGTTAAAAAGCAACACTCAAAATTAGTTTGTGAGAGTTGGTTCTAGTGACAACTTCGATCTCCACTTTAAATTGCAGATATTTTCTACTGAACATGCTATGAAAAAGCATCCAAAAATAACAATTCAACTTTAACTGTGAGCCTAACATAACTTCTGTTGATTAAATCACTTGTTTTAATCTGGAAAACAAAACAACTAGAATGCTTCTGTGATAAGAACTATTAGTCAGAAAATTCTCAAAACATAGAGTGAATTTTAAGTATCTTTACTGATCTATATCCTGTAAACTCCAGTGGCAGATCAATGCAGAAATACCTACATATGCGGGCCTAAACATAAGAGCGAATAATGCAATATGGATTGTGTAGATAAAGAAAACATGCCAACCTGGGTACCAACTTGGCACTAATAGCACCCTCTGCTGAATTCATGTCTTCCAAGCAGGCTTTTCTATAACTTAGCCGCAAGCTGAGCTGAGGAATGCCATCAGATAGCTCTGGTTGCAGTACTCTGTGGGCCTGAATAGATCCCTCACTCCTGGATTTTGGGATCTAGAAGAAAAAAAAAAGAGGGGTGGGGGAGAGCTAGATAAATGTTAAAGTCTTTCAAATTAAGTTTATGATAAAAGACAATTTATTCCAATTTTGCAATAATCCAATTTATAACACCCCAGAAAAATATCAAGCTAAAAATTAAATTTAAACTACATATAAAAATGATATAGCAAAGGGCACAGGGAAGGGGAGATACAAATATTTCCAAGGAGAACATTCAAACCTTATATACCCTACCGAGAACATTTCTATTCTGGCAGAAATCTTCCCCAGGCCCACCCCTCCTTAGAATAATCATTCTATGTAATGAGAAATGATATGGGAGTATGTCAGACTGGCAACTTGGATTGAAGGAAATAAAAAATAGTTGGAAGGAGGCAGGAAAAAAAAGAGCTAAGAACCACTGGAATAAAGGATGCCAGTGTCTGAAAGGTATTCAGAAATATTTACTACCAATAAGCAAAACACAAATTTGCTGATGGTTTCTATTGTAGCCCTCTTTTGTAGGGCAAAGTAAGATCTAATAAAATTTTGGTTAAGGTAATAAATAGGAAAAACACAAGCTTTTTAGTTTTCTTTTATCTTGGAATGCATGGGTAATATATGTCCCAAATGAATCCCGGGGGTACTGACTTCTCAGACTGTGTCTGAAGTTATGTTCCCTCTAGCCACCAAAATACCTTCATGTTCTCTTATTTTAGATCAGAATGAATATGAATACAATCAATATTCTTTTCCTTTAAAATGTAAAAAATATTATGCCAGAATTGTAGGAAAAATTAGAAACCTCGGATCAATTGTATTTGGTACACTGGAAGCTTTTTCTTGTCTCTAGGATTTTTCCCATGCTTGTCCTTACATCTGGAATGTCATGTGCTCATTGCTGGCCACTCAACTGCTTAAAACCAAACCAATCCTAACTTCCTTAGAGGCTGAGATAACTCCAGTGGACTTTCTCTAACTAACTTCAGGTCTTTTTTTTTTTTTTTTGAGACAGAGTCTCGCTCTGTCACCCAGGCTGCTGTAGTGCAGTGGCGTGATCTTGGCTTACTGCAACCCCCACCTCCTGGGTTCAAGCGATTCTCCTTCCTCAGCCTCCTGAGTAGGTGGGATTACAGGCATGCACCAACAAGTCAGGGTAATTTTTGTATTTTTTGTAGGGATGTGGTTTCACCATGTTGGCCTGGCCAGTCTCAAACTCCTGACTTCAAGTTATCTGCCCACCTCGGCCTCCCAAAGTGCTGGGATTACAGGCTTGAGCCACGGCGCCTGGACTTAACTTCAGGTCTTAATGACCTTTCCCAATTCTGAATTTCCATAACACACTACCACATAGTCTACCCTTGATTACACATTGCCTGATACTTTAATCTAAGTTTTCTCATGTTTCTAGGTCATATGGTCTCAATGGGTTCTCTGCAAATAGAGATCATAGTCTCCTCCTATTGTTTATCTCTTTCTCTCTCCTTTCTTTTATTCTTCTTATTAACATTTTTACCATAAAGTCTAGCAAAGTTTTGGATCTATTAGTAAATACTTATTGTGAGACAATCCACTTGTCAACCACAAGGTATTCTTAAGACATTGACTATCCCAGAGGATAGTTAATAAAACAGATAATTTTTAAAAGTAATATGGGAATAATTATGAACATAAATATTGAATAAATTCATGCCTCTATGAAGATTATATAAAAACAATATATGAAGAAATATGTATAATTATGACTTGTCAACTAAAAATAACATTAATTTACAAAACCAAACAACACACGCAAACAAAATATATGAACATAATTTGGCAAAAAGGTATATTTAGGATAGAGCAAAGTGAACTCAATAAAAGCTAGTTTTTATTATTATTGTTGTTACATAAAATTTGCCCAAATCTGGTGACTGACAATTAATTTTTCATGACATTTCTTTGCAGAGCATTCTTAAGCTCATAAAATCAGGAAAGCAAGGAAAAAATTTTTAAATATTATAAACGTACAAAAACACTTCTGTAGTCCATATTTGCTGAGACTGACTTTTTTATTGACAAAAATTATATATATTCATCCTGTACAACATGTTGTTCTGAAATATGTATACACTGTGGAACAGTTAAACAGATAATTAACATATGCGTTACCTCACATACATTTTTTGTGGTGAGAAAACTTAAAATCTACTCTTTTAGCAATTTTCAAGAATACCAAGAATACTTTTTTAAAAAAACATTAATAGCAAGAACATGAAAGTAAAAATATACGCTGTTATATATTTCATTAAGGAGCTCCTTTTGCATGTGATTATTTTTCATAAGAGTAGACATGAAAAATCAATAAAACCACTGAAAATGCAGTAAGATTTCAAACTAATTAGCCAAAAATCTCACATTTAGATTTAGTTCCCTGCCCATATTAAAGCAAGCACAAGGACAGTTGTTTGACAACATTTCATGGTGTTAAAATGAGGAGACTGTGATGGTTAATACTGAGTGTCAACTTGATTGAAGGATGCAAAGTACTGTTCCTGGGTGTGTCTGTGAGTCAGTGGACTCCATTTGAGTCAGTGGACTGGGAAGAGCAGACCCACCCTCAGTCTAGGTCGACACCATCTAGTCAGCTGCCAGCTCAGCTAGGATAAAAGCAGGCAGAGGAACGTGGAAGGACTAGACTGGCTGAGTGTTCAAGCCTCCATCTTTCTCCTGTGCTGGATGCTTCCTGCCCTTGAACATCAGACTCCAAGTTCTTCGGCTTTTGGACTCTTGGACTTACACCAGTGGTTTGCCAGGGGCTCTTGGGCCTTTGGCCACAGATTGAAGGCTCCACTATCGGCTTCCCTACTTTTGAGGTTTTGGGACTCAGACTGGCTTCCTAGCTCCTTAGCTTGCAGACAGCCTATTGTGGGACTTCACCTTGTGATCGTGTGAGTCAATTCTCCTAATAAACTCCTCTTCATAATAAACATCTATCCTATTAGTTCTGTCCCTCTAGTGAACCCTGACTAATATAAAAGAAAACTCCATGCTTTTATAAAACATATTCTAATCGAGGGGAAGACAGACAAGAAGTGGGCCCAGGAGGCCATTTAGACCCACCTTATCTCAGCAAGAGTTGCTTAGTGGCTCCATGAGGCTCAGGCAAGCCCTGCTAGTCAGGGACTCCAAATCGCGCCAACAGCCTTACCGTAATAAATGGAGTGAATGTGCTGGAAAGACATACCTGCAGCCTCTCTCATAACATGTGGCTGAAGCAGCAAAATGGCCAAGGGTTGGGGATACAGACTGGGGAGGCCAGCTTTCTCTTTCCACTGTAGTTATAACTGACATCCACTAGTTCACACCACACTTTGCTTCTTTCTTTTACTCATTTCTTCATTTATTTGATCATTTAGTAACTTTTGTATGTGAAGGTAAAAACTATAAAATCCCCCAAACCATCTATGATGAACACTTTGCTCATAAGAATTCTGCCACTGGCTATTTGAGATAAAGATCTACGTATACGCTGTGTGATTTATGTGTACAACTAAAATACAAACAATTACAGGAATCTCAAAAAGAATACATTCCATGCATGTATCTGCAAGTGCGCAGTAGCTCTAATTGTGGCATTTTTAAGGTGCTTTAGTATTTAACATGCCATGGGAATAAAAACAAATGAATGTTCTTTGAGACAGTAAAATTAGAAAACATTCTCTTAAATCCTGGTGCTGCTGCTGTTATAATTAATATTTACTGAGCACTTATTCTGTGCCAGGCATGGTTCCAAGAGATTTACATAAACCAACCCATTTAATTCTCAAAACCACCCAAGGAGTCAAGAGCTGTTATTATTATCATTTGAAAGATGAGGAAACTGAGGCACAAAAAATTTCATTTGTTCCGAGGAGTAAGTGGCAGAGTTACCATCAGAACCCAGACAGGCCTCAGTACCTGTGCTTAACCACTAGTCTATATACTTGGTTACATGTTAAATGTTGGAATTGCAAGAATAAATGGCATTTTAAATGAAATTCATACTACCTACCATAATGCAACGATTTTCTTTTTTCTTTTTTGGGTATTAGAAGTTAAATTTTTCTTTTCTTTCAATTTATTTCTCTGGCACCTGTTGAAGCATTCTAGAAACATAGCCTTAGGAAAAAAATCAAATTTGAGGACAAAACTAGATGGAAGATATGTTCATCATATTTTTATTTATAATAGAATGAAAATGTAAGCATTCTAAATAACCAAATTACTATCATACGTAAATTATGGCATATACACATGATAAAGGATTACCCAGCCATTAAAATACTTACAAAGTTTTAAATAAGATAGTAAAGTACTTTTTATGAGATACAGTATGAGCTAGTTTAGCAAATAAAAAAGCAAAAGGAGGTAGATATATACCTCCAATAAAACTAGGGTCATCATACTTAAAACACACAATAATTTGTTTTGAAAGCCAAAAAACAAATTGTCACAGTCAACACTAAAAATATTTTAAGATGGTCTAATCTTTAAAAATTGAATAAGGAACCCATCACCAAAAAAAAAAAAAATATGTGATACCAGGCACTAATTAACCCTGATAAATTAATGTGACTGAAAATAAAAAAGACATTAAAATATCATGCCTCAATCTTAATTTTTATACATTGCCATCATAGAACTGTGATGATACAACAGTAAGCTGTAAGGCTCTCTGTTCCACAGGAGAGTGTAGAGTACGAATTATCTGCCATGCTAAGTGGACATGAAGCAGGAGGGATTTCGTTTACTGGACAGCTTCTTTTCATTGTGGAGGAGTAGAAGGTTTCTCCACTTAAAAGTTTCTTCCCAGAAAAGTAATGTGCTTGTGAGTCAACTGCAGGAAAATTTAAAATAATAATTTAGTAAGCTATTATGAGACAGTATTGTTAGTAAGTAATTTTTAAAAGCTTAGGCATAATAAACTGATAGTTTAGACTTAGGAGTCACCCTAAGCACTGTTCAGTTGCTGTGCTGGCATTTTGAAAGTACAAAAACTCTAAGTGTGGACCGGGCATGGTGGCTCACACCTGTAATCCTAGCACTTTGGGAGGCCAAGATGGGGGGATTGCTTGAGACCAGGAGGTCGAGACAAGCCTCAGTGACATAATGAGACCCTGTCTCTACAAAATAATTAAAAAAAAAATAGCCAGGCCTTGTAGAGTCCACCTGTAGTCCCAACTACTTGGGAAGCTGAGGTGGGAGAATGGCTTGAGTCCAGGAGGTTGAGGCTGCAGTGAGCTGTGACCATGCCACTGCACTCTCATCTGTGTGACAGAGTGAGACCCTGTCTCAACATCCCCACCTCCAAAACAAATAAACAAAAAACCAAAAAACCCCAAAAAAACCAAAAAACCCAAACTCTAACTGTGTTCTTTTCATGGACTCCATATTCTTCATCAGGTACTCTGAGAAGTGATTAGGAAAGGACAGAAAATTATATTCAAGGCTTAAATGATTATGAAAGATTGAGATCGAAGGACAAAAGAAGTAGCACTAACTTTTAACACTTAGATTTTCTCAAGAAAGTTAACCAGTCCTCCTCATTCTCTTTGGCCTTTTCTCTCCTCCACCTGTCACTTGTATGGAAGATGGCAAAGCTTCTTGCCTCTCTTTCATGTTCGTTAAACTCATAATCTTCATAAGAAGAAATGTGAAATAACAAAGTATCAGAAAAGAGATGCTTAGTTCTGAATTTACAAAAAAAAGATACATAGTTTTAATTTAAAGACCACAAAAACTCCAAATCATAAAAAAGCCTTTGTTTTTGCTTAAAAAAAGTTTCATTTAGCTTTCCAAAAAAGAGATTTGTTTACTAAACTGCTGCTACTCTCCTCATAGATAATTTAATGAATCTCTCCTGTGCCAGCCACAGTGCTAGCTAATTAATGTTCCATTTTTTTTTCTGAGAAAATTATTAACATGCTTTAGGGAATATATATTTTTAGGAGGGGAGTAGTTTCTTACACATGCTTATCTTTTTTTGTAATAGTAAAAATGGGACAATGTTAAACAGTTATAACTAATTAAAATCTCATCTTGATCCAAGTTTTAGAGCAAGTCTGTATTTTAGCATAACTCAATTTAACTTTGTTAGAAAAATCACGCATAGATGAGAAAAAAGAAATTTTATACTTTTCAAAAGGTTTATGTTGAGGCCAAGTGTGGTGGCTCACCCCTGTAATCCCAGCACTTTGGCAGGCCAAGGCAGGCGGATCACTTGAGGCCAGGAGTTCAAGACCAGCCTGGCCAACATGGTGAAACCCTGTCAGTACTAAAAATAAAAAAAATTAGCCAGGCATGGTGGCGCATGCCTGCAATACCAGCTACTCAGGAGGCTGAGGCAGGATAATCGCTTGAACCTGGGAGGCGGAGGTTGCAGTGAGTGAAGATTGTGCCACTGCACTCCAGCCTGGGCAACAGAGCAAGATTCTGCCTCAAAAAAAAAAAAAAAAAAAAAGCTTATCTTGAAATATAAGAGATCAAATCAATTACAGGTTCACAGTGTGGCCCAAGCAAGTAACACTCCTTAGTTCTTTGTTTTCCTCAACTCTGCCCCTCTCAGCTCCTCTCTCTTCTGCAAACTGGGAAGTGCCATTCCAGCAGAAATGTTTGTGGGTTTTGTTAACTGCTATAGCCCTGCCTCATAGAATAGCACTTAGCAAACAGTAGGTGACCACTAAATGTCTGTATAATGACTAAGAAACTAAATAATAGCATCTACTTTCTTCCTAGAAACATTGAAATGTTAACAATCAGCTGATACTATAAAATATATTAATTCTATTGTGTAAACATTGCTCTTATTTTAGAACTTTCATTTATATTCAATTTCAAAATCTGCCACTTAAAAATAGTTACGGTACAGAGATCACAAGAATCTGAATTTATAGAGTAAAAGAATTATTAATGCATGACTATGAGTCAAGAAACTACATTGGCTCTAACTATATGGCCCCATGGTAGAGCCCCATGTCCTGAGACTTGGGCTCAAGGAAGCCTCACCTTTTAGAAGCTACTCAGGTAAATCTGTACATGGTAGTAGGGTGAGGTTTCTTATTAATCTCGACACAGTTCCATCTGCTATTTTACAAAGTTATTTGCTCAATTCTCTGACTTTAAGTCTTTTATCAGGAAAAAATTCAGTCAAAAAGTAATCGTTTATACTGAGCAGTGTAGGAATTAAGGTAGAAGACTTTAACAAATTTTCATTCTGTTACATAAAATTTTGCAGTAAAACATTTCATTTTGTATACTAATGTTCACAGCTGCAATATTCATGGTAGGCAAAAAGTAGAAACAACTCAAATGTCCATCAACTGACATATGGATAAGCAAAATGTGGTATATCTGTAGGGTGGAATACGATCAGTAATGAAAGGAATGAAGTACATGATAGAGCATAGATGAATCCTGAAAACATTATGCCAAGTGAAAGGAGGCAGAAACAAAAGGACACATATTGTATAATTCCATTGGCAGGAAATGTCTAGAACACGCAAATCCAGAGAGACAAAAAATAGATTAGTGGCTGGCAGGGGATGGAGGAGGGGAAGTAACTGCAAATGGGTATGGGGTTTCTTTTGAGGGTAATGAAATGTTCTGGAATTAGATATTGTTGATGGTTGCACAACTTTGTAAATACATGAAAAACCACTGAATTGTAACCTTAAAAGGGTGAGTTTTACAGTATATAAATTATATCTCAATAAAGCTGTTACAACAAAGAGGAAGATCAAGTGTGTCAAATGCCGCTGACAGGGCGAATAATGAAATCTGAGAACTGACCACTGAATTTGGCAATGTGCTGTTTCATTTTGTAGTAGGGATTGATTAGAGTGGGTTCCAGGCAAAAAAAGAGGAAGTGAAAACACAGAGCTTAAATAGTTCTTTTTTTTTCTTTCTCCATTTTCAAAGGAGAGCTTGTATAATTCTTTCAAGCAGTTCTGCTGTGAAGAATAGCAAAGGAAAGAGGCGATTGCTAAAGAGGGCTGAAGAGTCAAAGGAGGGTTGTTTTTATTTTCAAATAAGATGGAAAACATTATAGCATATTTCTATGCAAATGGGAATGATTCAATAGACAGACATCAAACTGGTGACCCAGGAGAGGGAGGAGGAAGGAGGAAAAATTGGGGGAGAGTTCTTGAGTGGGTGAGAGGGGATGGAATCATGCACACAGGAGAGGAGCTGATCTTAGTCAGGACTCTCAGCCCGTCCAGGAGATGGGAAGGAAGAAGGAAGAACACTGTGGGCCCAGAGGCAGGTGGTGGAGGGATATGAGTGTGGGAGCAGGTGGATGCTGTCTCCTGATGTTCTCAGTGAAACAGCAAGCAAGGTCATCCTCTGAGTGTGAAGCGGTGAAGGAAGTGATGTTGGAGGCATAATGGCCAAGGAGAATGTATGAAGGAGTTGCTTACAAGAGAGGAAGCATGAAGGGCTTGAGGGGAAGGAGCAGGACTGCCAGCATGAGGGCCCTTTTGAGGTTGAGAGCCATGTCCTTAGACCAGGACCTCAGCTTAGTTGCGTGGGTTTCACCAGCTGCATTCAGGTACTAAGATAGGCAAGGAGTGGGTATAGTGTTGTTTTTAGAGGGGGCTGGGATTTTAAGGTAGCAGACACTATTAGCTTCTTTATTCTGGTGCTGTAATAGCTTGTTTCCACATGTTGTCCTTATTAGAGTGAGTGATTTCCAAGTGTGTCTTTTTCATTTTTGTATCTCCTGCCTGTAAGTCTTCAACACAGAAGAGGCAATTAATGAATATTCAAAATACTATTTTCCTTATAAAAACAAATTCAGTAATTCCTTTGTTGCTTCTTTCCCCCTCCCTTGCTGCCTCAAACAGCTGATGCAATGTACTTATAAATCATATATTATAAAACTATAGCTAGTTTTTCCTTACAGGTTTCTTTATATTTAAGTGGACCAAAAATAATACATTCAAAAAATAATTGCATTGTGTTTTTCTGAGTACTTATTAAATAAGTTCATCAAAGCACTAATCAAACATGAAAACAGCTTTTGATAACCTGATTAATGTGTTCTTAAAATATTATCTCACTCTTCTAGCATAAATATTATGGGGAAAAATTAAGCAGCCCAGATTTCTCCCAGGAATGAGCATTAACGCCTCAGGGAAGGATGAGAATACTCAGGATTCTGTGCTGTAAGACTTACACTGTTCAGCAGTAGTTAAGCTGCTTCTTCTGGAAAACGTCTAGAAATAATTCTTTCATCTATGATTGTGAATAGTAAGTACCACAATTATCTGGTGATCTGTTTGCATTTCTATGATATATCCACAAGTGAAGGTACATTTGGGTTGTGGGGAAGAAGCACCTCCCACATTCCCTCAATAATAGTGAAGGGATGTTGCATTGAAAGGTTCTTCTGAAGGTGCTGTTTTGGGGAACAGGACAGCACATTTGTATCTGTGTGTATTTGTGAATGTGTACTGTGAGCATCACTGCCAGAAAATGATTAAAGGGATAAAACAAATGCCATTTATTCCTAATCCAAGCTTTCTTTTAATGTAGGCCCTACTATAAACAAGGGAAGCTGATGGAATGTTTTGCACTCCTTTTGCCAAACTCTGAGACTAATGAACCCTGTCCACAAAGCCAGCTGGAAATTGTAAGGCCAGGAATCAGTGAGGTTTCCTCCATTAGGGCGCCACTCATTGTGACAAGGCCATGAGGCATTACCAGTTATTTTACAAAATGTGCATTCTCAATGAACTAAAGCCATTTCTGTTGTCATATATATAGGTGAACACTTTATTTTACAACATATTCATTTATAGGGAGAAACTGGCTTTAAACTCTCTTTTTCTCTGTTGCCAGCTGCATGATGTGGAGTAAGTCCCTTAACTTCTCTGAGGCTCAGCTGCCTCATCTGTATAATGAAAAACCTACACCTCACAAGTTATTATAAAAATTAAATGACATCTTTGGGAGTCTGAGGCGGGCAAATCACCTGAGGTCAGGAGTTCGTGACCAGCCTGGTCAACATGGCAAAACCCCATCTCTACTAAAAATACAAAAATTAGCCAAGCATGGTTGTGCATGCCTGTAATCCCAGCTACTCAGGAGGCTGAGGCAGGAAAATCGCTTGAATCCGGGAGGCAAAGGTTGCAATGAGCCAAGATCATGCCACTGCACTCCAGCCTGGGCAACAGAGCAAGACTCCGTCTCAAAAAAAAAAAAAAAAAAACTAAACTAAACGAAATAATCCATGTATCATTATTGCCTGGAATAGACTGGGCACATAATAAATGACAGAAGTGAGAGTTATTAATTTTCATAATTAATAAAAATAATAAAAGACTGTGGAACTTGGGAAGACAAGTCATTATCAAACTATCCTAGTGGTTTATTCTTAAATAGCATTCTTCAAATTCAACAACAATTTAATAAGCATTTACCAAATGACTATGACATGCTGAGCCTTGGACTAGGCCCTGACATCATTAATGATGCTGGCTGTAGTCTTAAAGAAGTAGATAGTCTAGCAAGAAAAGAGGCACATGGACTCCTACCTCTAGTAATAAGCATAATTGCAATAATAGCTAACTGTTGAGTGCTTACTATATGGTAGGCATAATATTTAAACATTATCTATCTATCTATTCTCATTTTCAATTTTAAAAACCCTATGAAATAGGTACTACTATTTCCATTTTAAAGGTGGTAGAACAGAGATACAGAAAATTTAAGGAGCCTGCCCAAAGTCACACAGATAGTAAGTGATGAATCTAGGATTTGACTTGTGGCAATCTGATAACAGAAACAGCAATCTTAACTACTATTTCACACTGTCTCTCATATTTTTAAAAACATTCAATAGCAACAGATATTTATGGAGCACTTACTACCTGTGAATACTAAGGATACAAGAGAGACTAAATTAGACTTATTTCTGCACTCTAGAGCTTGTAGTCTAGTGGGGAAAACAAACATTAATCATGTAATTGCATGCATATATACATATGAGCTATGATAAATGTTAGGAAAAACTTACAGGTGTTAAGTAATGACTGTATAATGTATTTTTATATAATGTATATATACAATGCTATTTGAGAATACACATAAGGCACACAACTAATTCTGACGTAGGCAGAGAGAGGTGAGGAGGGAAGGCTTCCAGATAATGAAAACAGAGGGAGCAAAGGCATAAAATAAGAAATCTGAAATGAGTGGGCATGGAAGGAAATAAAGAGATGGTGGCAAGAGTTGGGACTAGAAGGTTGGGCTGGACTCAGACTGTTAAGGCAGTGTATACCATGCTAAAGGGTTTGACCTTTATTTGCTATTCAGTAGGCAACAAAGCATTTTATAACAGTTATTATGTCCATGATGTGGAGAAAAAACTAGGTTCAGTTTTTGGACTGAAATTCCCCCAAACACTAATCTTTGTTGATAAAATATAAGGCCCTGGATTACATACATACCTTTCATCTTCTAACTTTGATGCTCACTAAAGAGATCTTGTGCAGTGGACAATTATTAGTTGTCTTCTCAGTGCTCATATCCCTCCTTCTTCTGTTCTGATGCCCCCAGTTAGTGTACACGTATTATGAACCAGTTTTTTACGTGTAAAAATAAATAAACAATAATAAAATGTATAAGGAAGTTTGGGTAGATCCATGAGTTGCTAGGCTAGTTACCAGTCTTTATCATTCTACGTAAATAATATAGTCATTAAGAGAGACTTCTCACTGGGACATCATGAGGAAAAAAAAAAAACTATGTTTTTCTTTCCTTTTTTATTTTTTCTTCCTTCATTTAGCCAAAGAAAAGATGGGTGTGACAAATATATACATATATATTTGGTCTTAGTCCCTGGTTCCTGATATAAGATCTTCTAAAACCCTTGGACTGTCCAGTGATGAGTGCCTTTTTGCATATTAATGAGATGATTTGAGGCTGAAAACTGCTAGAGAGCTTCAGGATGAGGACTGGCTGCCAGAGGAACTAACTGCGTGATTAGAGGGTGGGAACTTACAGCCTCTAGAGAGGGGAAAGGGGCTGGAGATAGAATTCAATCACCAATGACCAATGCTTTAATTAATCGTGCCCACCTAATGGAACCTCCATAAAAAGCGTAAACAATGGGCTTTGGAGAGCTTCCAGGTTGGTGAATACATGGAGGTGCTGCGAGGGTGGTGTGCCCAGAAGGGGCACTGAAGTTCTGTGCCCTCCCCCATACTGTGTCCTAAGCATCTCTTTCATTTGGCTGTTCTTGAGTTGTATCCTTTAAAATAAACTGGTAAGTATGGCTAGGGTGCTTTTCTAAGTTCTGTGAACTGTTCTAGCAAATTATCAAACCTGAAGTTGGGGCCATGGAACCCCTGATTTATAGCCACTTTGTCAGAAGTACAAGTCACAACCTGGGACTTACATCTGAAATTGGGGACAGTCTTGTGGCATTTGACTTGCGGGGACTATGCTAATGCCAGGCAGTTAGTGCCAAAACTGAGTTAAATTGTCAGACACCCAGTTCATGTCTGCAGATAATTGGAGAATTGCTTGGTATGCAAAACACACATTTGATGTCAGAAGTGTTGGGAGGATGTAGAAAGAAAAAGAGTTTTGTTTATGTTTTTTTTTCTTTTAATGGGATAAAGGGATGTGAGCTTCCTGATAACAAGATGAATAAATAAAGGCCTGGATAGAGTCATCAGGGTAAGTTTCCACTTAAAGGATTTCACATGAAGCAGAAAACAAACAAGTTCAAATTCAAACTTTCATGATGTTCTCAGAATCCAAACTGTAAATCTGAAGAAGATAATCAAACAGGGTTGTCTTTAAGATCAAGAAGTAAACAAAAAAATCGGAATATATTGCGATAATAGAATTCGAGAGAAAGAATAAATCATTCATTCATTCAACAAACTGTCAGGCAATATATTAGAATCTAGATATGTGACACCTTACAACCTTATTCTGAAAGAGTTTATACTCTACTGAAAGGTAAAAAGAGAAGTAGTCAAAGGAATGCTATATTGATGTGGGACACAATAGAAGTGATCCTTTCCAGTCAGGGAGAAGGATGCCAGGAAAGATTCCAAAGAGTCATTTACAAGATTAGTGTTTGATAGGTAGATGTGGATGTTGGTGGAACTTCAAATAAATTTCTTTAACCCTTCTCTAAATAAAACCTTTCTTTCAGAGTTATTAAATCAAGATGATTGCTAGCATTTCATTGTGTTTGTGATCTTATTTATTTATTTATTTTTGAGACAGAGTCTTGCTCTGTCACCAGGCTGGAGTGCAGTGGCACGATATCAGCTTACTGCAAGCTCCACCTCCCAGGTTCAAGCTATTCTCCTGCCTCAGCCTCCCGAGTAGCTGGGACTACAGGCACGCGCCACCACACCCGGCTAATTTTTTGTATTTTAGTAGAGACGGGGTTTCACCATGTTTGCCAGGATGGTCTCCATCTCCTGACCTCATGATCTGCCTGCCTCAGCCTCCCAAAGTGCTGGGATTACAGGCATGAGCCACCATGCCCGGCCATTTGTGATCTTTTAAAAAGGAGTTACCTATGTTTTTGTGCTCTGCTTTATAAGCATGTGCTATTTTTAATAGAGCTTTTCTTAAAAACAAACAAACAAAATGTCCCTTTCTCTGTCATTCGTAAGTGTAAGTAGTTAAATGGAAAGGTGGTAACTACTAAGTCTCCAGGCATAAAACCTATGCATAGTATATTCTCCCAAATATATCTAGCTATTAAGTGACTACAGAGCATCACAGGGTATTTCAAAGGAGTAATCAACAACTTGTGAAAAATATCAGGAAAAATTTTCACCTACAGCCACTCCAAGAGGAAAAAGAAAGTATCTGCGAAAAAATGTAATTGGATTCCTTGGGACATATTTACATGGATTAAGCAAATATGAGTCAAAAACAAAATAAAAGCAGAAGAAACACTGATAAAAATTGTAGTAAATTTTTGAAAATTTATTTTTCCTATTTACATTGTCTGTTATTATTTTTGCCTTAGCCTATATCTCAGGAAAAGCCATATTGAGAAATGATTCACTCTAAAAGTGACTCATTAGATGGAAATGTAAAGGAAGAACCAGTGTGATTTCTTAATTAAAGGAATTTTAAGCATAGTGTTGGTCAGTTAGGCACAATTATTTAAAAAAGCAAAATATTAAACAATCAGGAATATAATTTTGAAGTAAAATAAATTCATCTGCTTGCAGACAGTAAATAGTTTATACCTTATAGCTAATACGTAAGTTTTAAAATGACAATATAGTTGTAAAATAGGCCCAAAAGAATACAAAATAATTTCAACCATGTAAGTTCTGAGTTTTAGTGCCTAGTAACGGTAACAGCAAATCATGATATTGAATAGTGATGATAAAAACTCAGATGTTTACATCAATCTACAGCAATTATGCTCCTACATTAGGAGCTGGCAAACTTTTTCCGTAAAGGGCCAGATAGTAAATATTTAGGGTTCATGGATTACACAGTCACTTTTGCAACTACTCAGCTCTGCCGTGGACAGCATGAAAGCAGCCACAGACAATATATAAACAAATGGGCACGGCTGTGTTCCTACAAAACTACTGACAAAAATAGATGGTACGCGGGATTTGGCCTGTGGGCCACTTTGTGCTCACCCAAATTCTAACATCATTCATTTCTTTCAACTTTTTCCTTTGTCTCTCTCTTTTTTTTTTTTTTTTTTTTTTTTTTTTTGAGACAGAGTCTCACTCTGTTGCCTAGGCTGGAGTGCAGTGGCACAGTCTGCCTCCTGGGTTCAAGCGATTTTCATGCCTCAGCCTCCCAAGTAGCTGGGATTACAGGCACGAGCCACCATGTTCCACTAATTTTTGTATATATATATACATTTTTTGAGATGGAATCTTGCTCTTATCCCCCTGGCTGGAGTGTAATGGCATGATCTTGGCTTACTGAAACCTCTGCCACCTGGGTTCAAGCGTTCTCCTGCCTCAGCCTCCCGAGTAGCTGGGATTACAGGCGCCTGCCACCATGGCCCAGCTAATTTTTGTATTTTTAGTAGAGACGCGGTTTTGCCACTTTGGCCAGGCTGGTCTTGAACTCCTGACCTTGTGATCTCCCCATCTCAGCCTCCCAAAGTGCTGGGATTACAGGCGTGAGGCACTGCGCCCGGCCTAATTTTTGTATTTTTAGTAGAGACAGGGTTTTGCCATGTTGGCCAGGCTGGTCTAGAACTCCTGACCTCAAGTTCAGCCTGCCTTGACCTCCCAAAGTTCTGGGATTATAGGCGTGAGTGACTGTGCCCGGCACTTTTGCTTCTATTTTTGCAATCATCAAAGGGCCAACCTTGCACATAAAATTTGCTATTTATTTTAAATTATTAGATCTGACCCAACTGTATCTACATAATTAACTTTTCAAATATGCACAGTCCAGAATACAAAAAAAAATCCTCAATTCCAATGGAAATCAGGAACATTTTATATTCCAATCAAGGAAATACCAATCCACATCTATCATGTAGGTAAATATTTAAGGTTGATAGTGCCCTATGCTTGATAGTTTGTAGAGCAGTTGGAACCTCTATACTTTATTAGTGAAAATACCATTAAATAGAATGTTTTAGAGAGAAATATGGCGACATACACTCTTCCTGAAAATGTGTGGAGACTTTAATATTTCACTCCTACCTACATACCCTGATGAAATGTTAATATAATTTTTTAAACTTTTTAAATTAAAAATTGAACATAATCTAAATATGGGCAAAGGGTACATACATGTGGCATAGTCATAGAAGATAATATCATAAAGCAGTTAGGTAAATATACAGTAGATTCTCATTATGTGTGGTAGTTATGTTCTATAAAGTTGCCATGAACACTGAATTAGTAAATACCGAATCATTGCCCCTAGAGGAAATACAGGTTCCTGTGAGCCTCTGGTCACATTTTTCTCAAATGATCAAGACATAATGTTGTTTTGTGTGTCTTTCTGTGTTTAAATACACCTTATTTAATATACTTGTTGGTTTATTAACACCAAACTCACAACTAACAGTGCTGTAACTCATGCCTGAACAAAGCTTATCTTAAACACCTGTCCTCCACTTATCCTCCGGAAGTCACATCACAGCCTTCTTGTGCTTTAGAAACATTAGACAGCCCTTCAGCATACACTTGGGAACCATTTTAAAGAGGGAAATTATGAACAGAAAGCACAACATGTAAAAAAACATGACTAAATAGAACACGAAAAGGACACCTGTTTACAGGATGACAGCTGTCAAGAAGGAGGGTCATCACCTTATTTGACCTTGGCTGAGAATATGCATTTCTCATTACGTGTATTTTTTGCCTCCTGGCATGTTCACAAATGACTGCAAAAGGACTGTTAAGTATTGACTTTGGGGTTACCAGTACATTTGAGCGCGTAGGCAAATTCACAAATATAGAAGACACAAATAATGAGGACTACTGTACTATATTTTGCATGTTTCAACATAGATCTATCTTAAAAAAACACTGAGGTGAATGAAGCAAGTTGGAGAAGGATATGTACAGCATGATACTTCAACAAATTTATATATAATTTCAGGGATATGTGCACATGTGATAGAAATATAAAAACATTTAGGGAAATGGTAGATACCAACTTTAGGATATGGGTATGTAGGGGGAGAAAAACTAACAACAACAGTTAATTGAAAAGAAAAGTGGTGGCTCAAAGGGCAACACGCAATGGAAATGTTATTAAAAACTATAAATGCTTTTTGAAACTTCAAGGAAAATAATTACATTTTATTGTACTGAAACTCACTTCTAAAGTTTCCAAACAGAGAAGTTAAGATTGATTTTGCCAAGGATGTTAAAATATCAATACTAAACTTGCCTCTGTTTTCTGATCTTGAAAAAAAAGATGATCTGCAGGCAGTTTTTCATTTTTGCTAATTTCTAATCAATAAATATGCTGCTGTGCTTTATCTGCCTTGTCAAACTCTATAATGAATACCCAAACAAAAATTTTTCATGCTGGTCTTAGCACTTCATGAGCGGAGGCCCCAACATTATCTTAAAATCTCACAGACTCCATGCCCCCAAAAACTTATCCTCTTCCCAGTCATCGAGTAAGTGCCTTTTCCTTTGGTTCTCTCCTTGATGAAGGCACGAACCATCCACCCACTTGGATCTGGAAGTCATCCCTCTATGTTTCCTTGCCACTTACCAAGTCCAGCTTTTATCTGTTTACTTTCCTTCCCTACCTATCACTTTAGTTTGGGCCCTTCCCACTTCTCATTTGGATTATAGCTTCCTAACTAGTCTCCCTTTCAATCCACTCTCCCTCTTGCCAGGGGTGATCTGATCTTATCTCCAGATTAAAACTGTTCAGTGGCTTTTCACCTCCTATAGTCTATAATCCATACTCTTTGGTCTCACATTAATGGCCCCAGACTATTTCCGCAGGTTCATTGCCTGCTGTTTTCCTAGACACACCGCACCCTGTAAACCAAGATTTATACATGTCTATAAACATGCACTTTCTCTCACATGCCTCCCTCCCTTTGTACTCTTTTACAACACTTAAGCTCTATATTGGCTAGTCAATACATATATAATCTCTCTATGACGTCAACTCAGGCATAGCAGTAATCACCTTCCTCCTTAGTTTGTTAATTATACTACAGAGATGATTATGCTCCCTCATTTATGCACCAAATTCCATCCATACACCAATAATTCTTAATTTTTATCTTTGTCCAGACATCTCTTCTGAGTTCCAAATGTATATTCAATCATGATCTTCAATCAGCATCTTCATTTGGAAGATGGTAAAACTAAAGCACAAAGAAGTTATGGAGCACACAGCAGGGCTAGGACTCAAACCATTAGACTATATGGTCTCCAATCAGCTAGTTACCCATACCAGGAACCTGAGAGTCATCTTTATCTCAAATAAGTCTACTTTGTCTTCATCCATTCCAGCCTTTCATATATCATTGCCTGGACAACTCTAATTGCTTCCTAATTGGTTTTCTCACTTCCACTTTTGCCTTCTTCTGATTATATTCACCATACAGAAGCCAGATTTATATTTTTAAGCAGAAATTTAATTACAGTTGTCCCTGTTTAAAACTTGTCAATGGTTTTTCATTTCATTTTGGAGATGTTCTCAAACTCTTGGCAGGCTTTCTCCAGCCTTTGTGGAGGCAGGTACTTCTGCTTCTTTCACTGGGCTTCAGCCTCCTGCAGTGGCCTCCCTTCAGTTATCCAGCCCCAGGGCCTTATCACATGCTGTGACAATATCGGAAATGTGCATATTACCATTCCTCACTACTCTCATGTGCTTTGGTCTCAAAAGAAAGGTAGATTCCTTCAAGAGGTCTTCCCTGATGTATCAGCTTAAATCAGGCACCCTTGTTATATACTCTCAGGGCACTTTATTTTCCTTCTAAGCAATTTACACAATTACTAACTAAACACTTGAATGTTAGTTTATATTGCTTGCTAGTCTGAAGATTCCATGTATCAACTTCAACTATCAACTATCAACTTCAATATCTGAATTCTTGGATTCTAGTTCAATACCTGGCATGTGATAGACAATTATGTATTCTGAAAAAAATAATTCAGGCTAAATGCCTGATATGACAAAGAGATCATCAAAACAGACATGACTGCATGAAAAGACGAAAGGACTAACATGGTGAATTATTCAGAACATGCAAGCAAAATCAATATGTGCCCAGATGAAATAGGACCAATCACAAAATACTCATAATTTATATAATTTATATTCTCTCTAATTATGTCAGCTTTCAAAATCCAAGATTAATTCTAAACTGAGACTTTGACAATTTAAATTCAACTTGTTACTACTCTGAGCCTTTGATCTAAAGCACATTATTTCTCTGTGCTTCCTTTTTCCTTAAAGTAACTAAACATTTCTGTTGTAAAAAAAAAAAAAATGAACAGCAATGGGCATTCTAAGAGTGAAAACAAGATGGCTGAATAGGAACAGCTCCGGTCTGCAGCTCCCAGCGTGATCGATGCAGAAGATGGGTGATTTCTGCATTTCCAACTGAGGTACCTGGTTCATCTCACTGGGACTGGTTGGACAGTGGGTGCAGCCCACGGAGGGCGAGCTGAAGCAGGGCAGGGCATCGCCTCACCCGGGAAGTGCAAGGGGTCAGGGGATTTCCCTTTCCTATCCAAGAAAAGCTGTGACAGACTGTACCTGGAAAATTGGGTCACTCCTGCCCTAATACTGCAATTTTCCAACAGTCTTAGCAAATGGCACACCAGGAGATTATACCCCGCGCCTGGCTTGGGGGGGGTCCCGCGCCCACAGAGCCTTGCTCATTGCTAGTGCAGTGTCTGAGATTGAACTGCAAGGTGAAAGCCTGGCTGGGGGAGGGGCATCTGCCATCACTGAGGCTTGAGTAGGTAAACAAAGCGGCCAGGAAGCTCGAACTGGTTGGAGCCTACCGCAGCCTGCCTCTGCAGACTCTACCTCTGGGAGCAGGACACAGCTGAACAAAAGGCAGCAGAAACTTCTGCAGACTTAAACGTCCCTGTCTGACAGCTCTGAAGACAGCAGTGATTCTTCCAGCACGGTGTTTGAGCTCTGAGAGCAGACAGACTGCCTCCTCAAGTGGGTCCCAGAACTCTGTGTAGCCTAACTGGGAGACACCTCCCAGTAGGGGGCAACTGACACCTCATACCAGCCAGGTGCCCCTCTGAGATGAAGCTTCCAGAGGAAGGATCAGGCAGCAACATTTGCTGTTCTGCAATATTTGCTGTTCTGCAGCCTTTGCTGGTGATACCTAGGCAAACAGGTCTGGAGTGGACCTCCAGCAAACTCCAACAGACCTGCAGCTGAGGGACCTGACTGTTAGAAGGAAAACTAACAAACAGAAAGGAATAGCATCAACATCAACAATAAGGACATCCACACCAAAACCCCATTTACAGGTCACCATCATTAAAGACCAAAGGTAGATAAAACCACAAAGATGGGGAGAAAACAGAGCAGAAAAGCTGGACATTCTAAAAACCAGAGTGCCTCTTCTCCAAAAGATCACAGCTCCTTGGCAGCAAAGAAACAAAGCTGGATGGAGAATGACTTTGATGAATTGACAGAAGTAGGCTTCAGAAGGTCAGTAATAACAAACTTCTTCGAGCTAAAGGAGGATGTTTGAAGCCATCGTAAGGAAGCTAAAAACCTTGAATACAGATGAGATGAATGGCTAACTAGAATACACAGTGTAGAGAAGACCTTAAAGGACCTGATGGAGCTGAAAACCATGGCACAAGAACTATGTGATGCATGCACAAGCTTCAGTAGCCGATTCGATCAACTGGAAGAAAGGGTATCAGTGATGGAAGATCAAATGAATGAAATGAAGCGAGAAGAGAAGTTTAGAGAAAAAAGAGTAAAAAGAAACAAACAAAGCATCCAAGAAATATGAGACTATGTGAAAAGACCAAATCTACGTTTGATTGGTGTATCTGAAAGTGATGGGGAGAATGGAACCAAGTTGGAAAACACTCTGCAGGATATTATCCAGGAGAATTCCCCAACTTAGCAAGGCAGGCCAACATTCAAATTCAGGAAATACAGAGAATACCACAAAGATACTCCTCAAGAAAAGCAACCCCAAGACACATAATTGTCAGATTCACCAAGGTTGAAATGAATGAAAAAATGTTAAGGGCAGCCAGAGAGAAAGGTCGGGTTACCCACAAAGGGAAGCCCATCAGACTAACAGCGGATCTCTCGGCAGAAACTCTACAAGCCAGAAGAGAGTGGGGGCCAATATTCAACATTCTTAACGAAAAGAATTTTCAACCCAGAATTTCATATCCAGCCAAACTAAGCTTCACAAGTGAAAGAGAAATAAAATACTCTACAGACAAGCAAAGGCTGAGAGATTTTGTCACCACCAGGCCTGCCTTACAAGAGCTCCTGAAGGAAGCACTAAACATGGAAAGGAACAACCAGTACCAGCCACTGCAAAAATATGACGAATTGTAAACACCATTGATGCTAGGAGAAACTGCATCAACCAACGGGCAAAATAACCAGCTAACATCATAATGACAGGATCAAATTCACACATAACAATATTAACCTTAAATGTAAATAAGCTAAATGCCCCAATTAAAAGACACAGATTGGATAAAGAGTCAAGACCCATCAGTGTGCTGTATTCAGTAGACCCATCTCACGTGCAGAGACATACATAGGCTCAAAATAAAGGGATGGAGGAAGATCTACCAAGCAAATGGAAAGCCAATAAAAGCAGGGGTTGCAATCCTAGTCTCTGATAAAACAGACTTTAAACCAACAAAGATCAAAAGAGACAAAGAAGGCCATTACATAATGGTAAAGGGATCAATTCAACAAGAAGAGCTAACTATCCTAAATATAAATGCTCCCAATACAGGAGCACCCAGATTCACAAAGCAAGTCCTTAGACACCTGCAAAGAGATGTAGACCCCCACACAATAATAATGGGAGAGTTTTAACAACCCACTGTCAATATTAGACAGATCAACGAGACAGAAGATTAAAAAGGATATCCAGGACTTGAACTCAGCTCTGCAGCTTAGCAGACCTAATAGACATCTACAGAACTCTCCACCTCAAATCAACAGAATATACATTCTTCTCAGCACCACATCACACATATTCAAAAATTGACCACATAGTTGGAAGTAAAGCACTCCTCAGCAAATGTAAAATAACAGAAATTATAACAAACTGTCTCTCAAACCACAGTGCAATCAAATTAGAACTCAGGATTTAAAAACTCACTCACAACCACACTCCTATATGGAAACTGAATAACTTGCTCCTGAATGACTACTGGGTAAATAATGAAATGAGGGAGGAAATAAAGATGTTCTTTGAAACCAATGAGAACAAAGACACAACATACCAGAATCTCTGGGACACATTTAAAGCAGTGTGTAGAGGGAAATTTATAGCACTAAATGCCCATAAGAGAAAGCAGGAAAGATCTAAAATTGACACCCTAACATCACAATTAAAAGAACTAGAGAAGCAAGAGCAAACACATTCAAAAGCTAGCAGAAGGCAAGAAATAACTAAAATCAGAGCAGAACTGAAGGAAATAGAGACACAAAAAAACCCTTCAAAAAATTAATGAATCCAGGAGCTGGTTTTTTGAAAGGATCAACAAAATTGATAGACTGCTAGCAAGACTAATAAGGAAGAAAAGAGAGAAGAATCAAATAGATGCAACAAAAAATGATAAAGGGGATATCACCACCGATCCCACAGAAATACAAACTACCATCAGAGAATACTATAAATACCTCTAGGCAAATAAACTAGAAAATCTAGAAGAAATGGATAAATTCTTGGACACATACAGCCTCCCAAGACTAACCCAGGAAGAAGTTGAATCGCTGAATAGACCAATAACAGCCTCTGAAATTGAGGCAATAATTAATAGCCTACCAACCAAAAAAAGTCCAGGACCAGATGGATTCACAGCCGAATTCTTCCAGAGGTACAAAGAGGAGCTGGTACCATTCCTTCTGAAACTATTCCAATAGAAAAAGAGGGAATCCTCCCTAACTCATTTTATGAGGCCAGCATCATCCTGATACCAAAGCCTGGCAGAGACACAACAACAAAAAAGAGAATTTTAGACCAATATCCTTGATGAACATTGATGCAAAAATCCTCAATAAAATACTGGCAAACCGAATCCAGCAGCACATCAAAAAGCTTATCCACCAAGATCAAGTTGGCTTCATCCCTGGGATGCAAGGCTGGTTCAACACACGCAAATCAATAGACGTAATCCATCACATAAACAGAACCAAAGACAAAACCACATGATTATCTCAATAGATGCAGAAAAGGCCTTCGACAAAATTCAACACTGCTTCATGCTGAAAAACTCTCAATAAACTAGGTACTGATGGAACATATCTCAAAATAATAAGAGCTATTTATGACAAACCCACAGCCAATATCATACTGAATGGGCAAAATCTGGAAGCATTCCCTTTGAAAACTGGCACAAGACAGGGATGCCCTCTCTCACCACTCCTATTCAATATAGGGTTGGAAGTTCTGGCCAGGGAAATCAGGCAAGAGAAAAAAATAAAGAGTATTCAATTAGGAAAAGAGGAAGTCAAAGTGTCTCTGTTTGCAGATGACATGATTGTATATTTAGAAAACCCCATCGTCTCAGCCCAAAATCTCCTTAAGCTGATAAGCAACTTCAGCAAAGTCTCTGGATACAAAATCAATGTGCAAAAATCACAAGCATTCCTATATACCAATAACAGGCAAACAGAGAGCCAAATCATGAGTGAACTCCCATTCACAATTGCTTCAAAGAGAATAAAATACCTAGGAATCCAACTGACAAGGGACGTGAAGGACCTTTTCAAGGAGAACTACAAATCACTGCTGAATGAAATAAAAGAAGACACAAACAAATGGAAGAACATTCCATGCTCATGCATAGGAAGAATCAATATTGTGAAAATGGCCATACCGCCCAAGGTAATTTATAGATTCAATGCCATCCCCATCAAGCTACCAATGACTTTCTTCACAGAATTGGAAAAAACTACTTTAAAGTTCATATGGAACCAAGAAAGAGCCTGCATTGCCAAGACAATCCTAAGCAAAACGAACAAAGCTGGAGGCATCACGCTACCTGACTTCAAACTATACTACAAGGCTACAGTAACCAAAACAGCATGGTACTGGTACCAAAACAGAGATATAGATCAATGGAACAGAACAGAGGCCTCAGAAATAACACCACACATCTACAAGCATATGATCTTTGACAAACCTGACAAAAACAAGAAATGGGGAAAGGATTCCCTATTTAATAAATGGTGCTGGGAAAACTGGCTAGCCATATGTAGAAAGCTGAAACTGGATCCCTTCCTTACATCTTATACAAAAATTAATTCAAGATGGATTAAAGACTTAAATGTTAGACCTAAAACCATAAAAACCCTAGAAGAAAACCTAGGCAATACCATTCAGGACATAGGCATGGGCAAAGACTTCATGGATAAAACACCAAAAGCAATGGCCACAAAAGCCGAAATAGACAAATGGGATCTAGTTAAACTAAAGAGCTTCTGCAAAGCAAAAGAAACTATCATCAGAGTGAACAGGCAACCTACAGAATGGGAGAAAATTTTTGCAATCTACCCATCTGACAAAGGGCTAATATCCAGAATCTACAAAGAACTTAAACAAATTTACAAGAATAAATCAAACAACCCCATCAAAAAGTGGGCAAAGGTTATAACAGACACTTCTCAAAAGAAGAGATTTATGCAGCCAACAGACAGATGAAAAAATGCTCATCATCACTGGTCATCAGAGAAATGCAAATCAAAACCACAATGAGATACCATCTCACACCAGTTAAAATGGCGATCATTAAAAAGTCAGGAAACAACAGGTGCTGGAGAGAATGTGGAGAAATAGGAACACTTTTACACTGTTGGTGGGACTGTAAACTAGTTCAGCCATTGTGGAAGACAGTGTGGTGATTCCTCAAGGATCTAGAACTAGAAATACCATTCGACCCCGTGATCTCATTATTGGATATATACCCAAAGGATTATAAATCATGCTACTATAAAGATACTTGCACACGTATGTTTATTGCGGCACTATTCACAATAGCAAAGACTTGAAACCAACCCAAATGTCCAACAATGATAGACTGGATTAAGAAAATGTGGCACATATACACCATGGAATACTATGCAGCCACAAAAAAGGATGAATTCATGTCCTTTCTAGGGACACGGATGAAGCTGGAAACCATCATTCTCAGCAAACTATCGCAAGGACAGAAAACCAAACACCGCATGTTCTCACTCATAGGTAAGAACTGAACAATGAGAACACTTGGACACAGGGTGGGGAACATCCCACACCAGGGCCTGTCCTGGGATGGGGGGCTGGGGGAGGGATAGCATTAGGAGAAATACCTAATGCAAATGACGAGTTAATGGGTGCAGCACACAAACATGGCACATGTATACATATGTAACCAACCTGCACATTGTGCACATGTACCCTAGAACTTAAAAGTATAATAATAATAAAAAAAGAATTGCATTCTAATGCAAGCTTAAAAGCAAAAAGAAAAAAAATGAACAGCAATGACCAAAATTTTAACTGGAGAAGAAGATAGTTTGTGAAAAGTACACTATCACCACTCTGTAGTATCAGTGAAATGGAGGAATAAAAAGCAACTCTGCCCAATATCAGACTAACATAATAATAAAAAACGATGTAAAACAGAATTTTTTTCTTATTGGTCATTCTGTTCTAAAATCCATTCTATAGGATCATAGTCAGATTTGTCTTCTTAATATACACCTACCCCCTGGTCACATCACTTCTTTTTTTTTTGAGACAGAGTCTCGCTCTGTCGCCGAGGCTGGAGTGCAGTGGCTCAATCTCGGCTCACTGCAAGCTCTGCCTCCCGAGTTCATGCCATTCTCCTGCCTCGGCCTCCCAAGTAGCTGGGACTACAGGTGCCTGCCACCACGCCCAGCTAATTTTTTGTATTTTTAGTAGAGATGGGGTTTCACCATGTTAGCCAGGATGGTCTCGATTTCCTGACCTCGTGATCCACCCGCCTCAGCCTCCCAAAGTGCTGGGATTACAGGCGTGAGCCACCGCGCCCAGACCGCGTCACTTCTTTATTAACAATCACTGCCAATATTTTTAAAATATAATTAATTCACATAGCTACTTAAGTGAGAACACTGAGATTATGATTGAGAACTAAATGGGAAAAATACATTGAACTGGAAAATATTTCACAAAATAGAAAATATAAATTGTAAGCTTACATATGGAAATACGCAGAATTTCATTATCAATAAAGTTATAAATTCAGAACAGGGTCTTCTTTTTGGTGCTTTTGCTCATATACAAGTTTTAATTATAATGCCTAATACTGAGTCTGATGTATGCAACTGATACCGTTATGTTTTTTAGTGGCAGAGTAAATTTTTGTAATTCTTTAGCAAAAATTTAATTTACTGATAGGTTTAAACACCATAAATATGTTTATAACCTTTGAACTACTGAATCTGGCAATCTAACCTGAGGAAATAATTCTAAGAAATGAATCTTATGCCAAAATTGTTTGACCAAACAGTATTTATCATACTGAATAACATTGTAACACTAAAAACATCTGAAATACAGCAGTCTGGGAATGACCATCATTATTATTATGAAGCCTGAATTATTGTAGAAAGTCCTTATAACAATATGTTAAGGGGAAAAAACAGAAAACAAAATGCTTGCAAAATTTGAATATATCTTTCTTAAATATATTCACATAGGTGTAGGAAAAGAGGTAAAATATCATACATCAAAATGCTAAGAGTAATTAATAGTGGCAGAGAAAGGCAGGTTGGCTCTTTGTTTCTTTCCTCTACTGTCTATTTTTGGTTTTTGCTTTGTTGCAATGCTATTTCACATCTATAATGAAGAAAAGTTAACTAAAATATCTTTAGTAGCTCCCCATTGTTTTCTAATAAGATTTAAATTTATGAGTACCAATCTCCTATTCAAAGTCCTCAGTCTACCTCAACTTTCTCCTTGAATCTTCTACTTCCCACCTCTTATATTGTACATAGCCCTTAACAAGGCCCCTCGCAGTGGGATCAATGGTGGTGCTCATTCTGAGTTTATTTAGTGAAATGAACAAATTCTTTCTCTTTGTGAACATTTTCTGACACACTCCCTCCTGGGGAGTAAAACATTATAGTTAAAGAAATTTGGTACTTTTTGGCTGGGCGCGGTGGCTCACGCCTGTAATCCCAGCACATTGGAAGGGCCGAGGCGGGCGGATCACGAGGTCAGGAAATCAAGACCATCCTGGCTAACACGGTGAAACCCCGTCTCTACTAAAAAATACAAAAAATTAGCCAGGCGTGGTGGCGGGTGCCTGTAGTCCCAGCTACAGGAGGCTGAGGCAGGAGAATGGTGTGAACCCGGGAGGCGGAGCTTGCAGTGAGCCGAGATTGCGCCACTGCACTCCAGCCTGGGCGACAGAGTGAGACTCCATCTCAAAAAAAAAAAAAAAAAAAAAAAAAAAAAGAAATTTGGTACTTTTTGAGATTCTATTTCTGTAAAAGGATTGTTTATCAAAGCATTAATTTCTTTAATTTAGAAATAGGAATTAAAGTCATTGAGAGCACTATACTGGTAATGCATTTTTTTCCTCTTCTAGACATGGATTAATGAGCCTGTTTATTTTCTGCTTATCATGTCTAAAATTAGAAAATACAGTTATTTTAATAAATCAATTTAAAGGAGTCAAAAAACTATATTCTACAAATAGAACTTTGTTTTCTTATTTAAAATTCATTCCATTAACACTTGGCATAAAAGTAAACTTGAACATTCTCAATATTGGTTTTCAATATAATTACTAGGTACAGCTAATAATTTAGGATTGTGAGAATTAACACAATATTTAGTGATTGCCTTAAGAATCTTCTCTAGCATTTATAGGCAATTTAAGGCCCATAAATTCTGGGTACAAGAGTCCCCAGTAGACTGGACATCTGCACCTAATAGTGTAGGGGACTGAATAAACATCTGTTATCACAATGAGCACAAAGTACAAACTTATGGAGCCTGATAGTATGAAACTCAACATGTAATTTTCCACAGCAATATCCACATTGTAGGTAAGGTGTTAGATTCCTAGGATATCCTACTAAAGTCTATTTAGCTAATTACTTTGTGAGTTTGGTAGGCTGGCCTGATAGGAAACTATATTCTAAACAGCATGGTTGATATATAAAACGGTCTTTAGAATGAATGTTGGGAATAAGTTGTGTGCAATCAGACACCTTTATATATAAAACACATCTAATATTGGTAGCTGAGAATAGCTGCTGTCATGATGGAGAACAATTAATACAGCCACTATAAAAGCAATATAGAGCTTTAGCACTTAAGAAACGCTGTGAGACACAGGTTAAGAGGTAAGAACAAAAAAGACCCTTTCACTAATCCCTAGATGCTTACTAAGTTCCAGGCAGTACACCCAATTATTTACATCTATTATTAGTATCTTTGATTCTCACAAAAACTCTGCAAAGCAGGTAGTATAACATGCTATAGCATATAAGACTAGAAAAGTGGGAAGTAATATAAGGGTAAAGAGTTCATGCTTTAGCATCAAATATATCTGATATGTATTATATGCACAATCTTGGTTAAGTTAACTAGTCTCTCTAAGCCTGCTTTCTTACCTATTAAAAAAAAAAGAAGAAGGAAAATATGGTAGAATGTTACTGCTGTTCACCAAATACTGGTAAAGCCATCCTTCCTTCTAGGCACATCCTAGGGTTGTACTCACTGTCTGATTGTGGGCCTGGGGATGGAGGTGCGGCATGTGATTAGCTCTGGCCAATGGGTTCTGAGCAGAAGGAATGGAGTTACTTCTGGACCACCAGAGCATTTCATTGTTACTGCAAGGTCCTACAGAACTCTTTCCTTTTCCTTGGGTACAATAACTGGTTACATTTGCGAGGGGCTGCTCTGTCAGGCCAGGTGCCTGAGTGACCAGCAAGAGCAGAGTCTCCCTGTTAATCTAAATTGGGCAGGCAGCATGAGCAAGAAAAAAAAATGTTGTCTTAAGCCATTAAGATAATGGGATTGTTTATTACTGAAGTATAACCAAGACTATTCAGGCTGAATTTTTATTCTATAGTGTTGTGAGCATTTAATGAAGTAATATGAGAAGTATTTTTCAGTGTTTAGCATAGAGTAAATACTTAAGTCACACCTACCTATATTATTATTATATATTATTATTCCTCTCTAATAAATTAGAATACTGAAAATATAAAATCCAAGGGAAGCTCCGACTTAGAAGGAGAGAGCAGCATGTGGAGACTCACACTGTGAACTTTTGCTCCTAGAACTACCACAGGGACATAGCAGGAAAGCCAAGAGAAGCCACAGACCCTTTGAAGGAAGTGGATTGCTGCTGTAGGCTCCAGGAGACAGCTGAAAAATTCTGAGAGCCCAAAGTGTGAAAGTGTGAAAGGCGAACCGTCCAGCCCCGAACACACACCCTCACTGGGAAACCTGAAGGTCCAGATGACAGGAGAAGGTTTGACCTTACCTGGAGCTGAGACAAATTTAGAGAGCCAAGCGAAATATCAGAGTAGAGGAAGCAGCAGGAAGAGCTCTGTGGGCACTCTTGGTCCACAGGGAAGCCATTTCTGACTTTGTCTCATAGGGGTCCTTGGGCAGGACTGCCAAAGGAACTGGGAAAAAAAACCACAGGGAGAAGGAACCTTCTAGCTGAACTTCACAACAATTTCCACCGAACGCAGAGTTTCCTGGACAGAATCTGAGGAAGGGGGCATTGGAATCAGGAGTGCAGACACAGCACAGAAGCCATGGCAGGTGGGGAGGTGCAAACCATGAAAGCCCTGCTTGCTTTCTCAGCCGGGAGGCTGGCAGCCTGGGGCAAATTCTCAGCCCTGTTTAGCAGCTGCCTGGAAATAAACTCAGAGCTGTTGCGGGTGGTGCGGTGGGGGGCGGGGGGGGGGGGGGCACAGTGGGAGTGAGACTGGCCTTTTGGGCTGCGTGGGAGGTGAGTGAGGCCTGTAACTGCTGGCTTTTCCCCACTCCCTTGGGGACCTGAATGAGGCAGCAGAGGCAGCCATAATTCCCCTAGGAACATAACTCCATTGGCCTGAGAACCATGCCCCTATCCCCGACAGCAGCCACAGCAAGTCCCGCCCAAGAAGAGTCTGAGCCTAACCCTGCCCCCACCTGATGGTCTTTCTCCACCAGCCCTGGTAGCTGAAGACAATGGACATAATTTCTTGGGAGCTCTATGGCGCTGCCCACCGCCTAATCCTCCCTATACTGCCACAGCTAATGCTCTCTTGAAACTGCCACCTCCTGGCTGGAAGCCAACCAAATAAAACTAGCCCAATAAACAAAACTACAACTAAGGACTCTCACAGAGCTCACTTCACTCTCCTGCTACTTTCACTTAAGTGGGGGCTCGTATCCATGTCTGAGAGACCTAAAAACAGTTCACATCACAGGACTCTGTGCAGACACTCCCAGTACTAGCCTGGAGCTTGGTAGCTCCACTGGGTGGCTAGATCCAGAAAAGGAGTAACAATCACAGCAGTTCAGCTCTCAGAAAGCCACATCCTTAGGGGAAGGGGGAGAGCACCACATCAAGGGAACACCCCATGGGAAAAAAGCATATAAACAGCTGACCTTGAGCTCCAGATCTTCCCTCTGACATAGTCTACCCAAATGAGAAGGAAACAGAAAAACAATTCTGGTAATATAACAACACGAGGTTCTTTAACACCCCCAAGAGATCATGCTAGCTCACCAGGAATTGATCCAAAACAAGAAGAAATCTCTGAATTGCCAGAAAAAGAATTCAGAAGGTTGATTAATAAGCTAATCAAGGAGGCACTACAGAAAGGTGAAGTCTAACTTAATGAAACAAAAAAAATGATATAACATATGAAGGGAAAAATCTTCAGTGAAATAGATAGCATAAATAAAAAACAATCACAACTTCTGGAAATGAAGGACACACTTAGAGAAATGTAAAATATACTGGAACGTGTCAGCGATAGAATCAAACAGGTAGAAGAAGGAATTTCAGAGGTCAAAGTAAAGGCTTTCAAATTAACTCAATCCAACAGAGACAAAGAAAAAAGAATTTAAAAAAAATGAAAAAAGACTTCAATAATTTTGGGATTATGTTAAATGACCAAACCTAACCATAATTGTTGTTCCCGAGGAAGATGATGAATCTAAAACTTGGGAAAACATATTTGAGGGAATAACCGAGGAAAACTTCCCTGGCCTTGCTAGAGATCTAGATATCCAAATACAAGAATCTCAAAGAACATCTGGGAAATTTATCATGAAAAGATCATCACCTAGGCACATAATCATAAGGTAATCTAAAGTCAGGATGAAGGAAAGAAAATTAAGAGCTGTGAGGCAAAAGCATTAGTTAACCTCTAAAGGAAAACCTATCAGATTAACTGCAGATTTCTCAGCAGAATCCCTACAAGCTAGAAGGGATTGGGGCTTATCTTTAGACTGCTTAAACAAAGTAATTATCAGCCAAGAATTTTGTATCCAGTGAAACTAAGCTTCATAAAGGAAGGAAAGTTACGGACTTTTTCAGACAATGCTGTATTGTCTTTTTCAGACAATACAATCTTTTTCAGACAATGCTGAGATAATTCACCACTACCAAGCCAGCACTACAAGAAAGGCTAAAAGGAGCTCTAAATTTTGAAAATATACCAACATAGAACCTCCTTAAAGCATAAATCTCATACCACCTACAAAACAAAAACACAATGGAAAAAAAAAAAACAAGGTCTTCAGGCAACAAACAGCATGATGAATAGAACAGTACCTCACATCTCAATACTAATGTTGAATGTAAATGGCATAAATGCTCAACTTAAAATACACACAATGGCAGAATGGATAAGAATTCACCAACCAACTATCTGCTATCTTCAAGAGACTCACCTAACACATAAAGACTCACATAAACTTAATGTAAAGGGTTGGAAAAAGATATTTAATGCAAATGGACAACAAAACAAGCAGGAGTAGCTATTCTTATATCAGACAAAACAAACTTTAAAGCAATAGCAGTTAAAAAAGACAGAGGGACATTATATAATGATTAAAGGACTTGTTCAACAGGAAAATATCACAATCCTAAATATAAATGTATCTACCACTGGAGCTCCCAAATTTATAAAATAATTACTACTACACCTAAGAAATAAGATAGACAGCAATACAATAATAGTCAGAGACTTCAATATTCCACTGACAGGACTAGACAGGTCATCAAGACAGAAAGTTAACAAAGAAACACTGGATTTAAACTATACCTTAAAACAAATAGACTTAAAAGATATTTACAGAACATTCTACTAAACAACTAGAGAATATACATTCTATTCATCAACACATGGAACATTCTCCAAGATAGACCACACGATAAGCCACAAAACAAGTATCAGTAAATTTAAGAAGATTGAAATATATCAAGTATGCTCTCAAGCCACAGTGGAATAAAATTGGAAATCAACTCCAAAAGAACCTTCAAAACCATGCAAATACATGGAAATTTAACAATCTGCTCCTGAATGATCATTGGGCCAACAATGAAATCAAGATGGAAATTAAAAAATTCATTGAACTCAATGATAATAGTGACACAACCTATCAAAACCTCTGTAATACAGCAAAGGTGGTGCTAAGGGGAAAGTTCATAGCCTTAAATGCCTACATCAAAAAGTCTGAAAGAGAACAAAGAGACAATCTAAGGTCACACCTCAAGGAACTGGAGAAACAAGAACAAACTAAACTCAAACCCAGCAGAAGAAAAGAAATAATGAAGATCAGAGCAGAACTAAATGAAATAGAAACAAACAAAAATACAAAAGATAAATGAAACAAAAACCTGGTTCTTTCAAAACATAAATAAAATTGATAGACCATTAGTGAGACTAACCACAAAAAGAGAGAAGATCCAAATAAGTTCAATTATAAATGAAACGAGAGGTATTACAATTGAAATTACCACAGAAATACAAAAGATCATTGAAGGCTACGATAAACACGTTTACACACATAAACTAGAAAACCAAGAGGAGATGGATAAATTTCTGGAAACAGACAACCCTCCTAGATTATACTAGGAAGAACTAGAAACTCTGCACAGATGAATAACAAGCAGCAAGATTGAAATGCTAATTAAAAATTGCCAAAAAAAAAGTCCAGGAAAAGATGGATTTACAGCTGAATTCTGTCAGACATTCAAAGAAGAATTGGTACCAATCCTATTGACACTATTCCACAAGATAGAGAAGGAAGGAATCCTCCCAATATCATTTTATGAAGCCAGTATCACCCTAATACCAAAACCAGGAAAGGACATAACAAAAAAAAGAAAACAACAGACCAATATCCCTGATGAACACAGATGCAAAAATCCTTAAGCTAACCAAATCCAACAGCATATCAAAAAGATAACCCACTATGATCAAGTGGGTTTCACACCAGGGATGCAGAGATGGCTTAACATATGCATGTCAATAAATGTGATACACCACATAAACAGAATTAAAACCAGAAATCACATGATCAGCTCAATAGAGGCACAAAAAGTATTTGACAAAATCCATCATCGCTTTATTATTAAAACCCTCAGCAAAACTGGCATAGAAGAGGCATACCTTAACGTAATAAAACCATCTAGGACAAACCCACAGCCAACATTATACTGAATGAGGAAAAGTTGAAAGCATTCTCCCTAAGAACTGAAACAAGACAAGGATCCCACTCTCTTCACTTCTATTCAACATAGTACTGGAAGTCCTAGCCAGAGCAATTAGACAAGAGAAAGAAAGAAAGCGGAACCAAACTGCTGAAGAGGAATCAAACTGTCGCTGTTTGCTGATGATCTGATTGTATATCTAAGAACCCTAAAGAGTCCTCCAAAAAGCTCCTAGAACTGATAAATGAATTCAGCAAAGTTTCAGGAAACAAAATTAATGCACACAAATCAGTAGCTGTGCTATACACCAACAGCAACCAAACTGAGAATAAAAGCAAGAACTCAACCCCTTTTAGAATAGCTGTAAAAAAATAAAATCAAATACTTAGGAATATATCTAAACAAGGAGGTGAAAGACCTCTACAAGGAAAACTACAAAACACTGCTGAAAGAAATCATAGATGGCACAAACAAATGGAAACACATCCTCTTCTCTTGGATAGGTAGAATCAATATTGTGAAAATGACCATACTGCCAAAAGCAATCTACAAATTCAATGTAATTCCCATCAAAATACCACCAATTGTTCTTAACAGAACCAGAAAAAAAAATCTGAAAATTCATATGGAACCAAAGGAACCAAAAAAGAGCCTGAATGGCCAATCCAAAACTAAGCAAAAAGAACAAATCTAGAGGCATCACATTACCCAACCTCAAACTATACTATAAGGCCATAGTCACCAAAACAGCATAGTAGTGGTATAAAAATAGGCACATAGACCAATGAAACAGGATAGAGAACCCAGAAATAATGCCAAATACAGCCAATGGATCTTCAATGAAGCAAACTAAAAGATAAAGTGGAGAAAGGACACCCTACTCAACAAATAGTGCTGGGATAATTGGCAAGCCACATGTAGAAGAATGAAACCAGATCCTCATCTCTCACCTTTTACAAAAATCAATTCAAGATGGATCAAAAACTTAAATCTAAGACCTGAGCCCACAAAAATTCTAGAAGGTGACACTGGAAAACCCCTTCTAGACATTGGCTTAGGCAAAGACTTCATGTCCAAGAACCCAAAAGCATATGCAACAATAACAAAGATAAATAGATGGGACCTAATTATACTAAAAAGCTTCTGCACAGCAAAAGAAACAATCAGCAGAGTAAGCAGACAACCCACAGAGTGGGAGAAAATCTTTGTAATCTATACATCTGACAAAGGACTAATATCCAGAATATACAAGGATCCAAACAAATTAGCAAAAAAAAAAAAAAATCACACAATCCCATCAAAAAGTGGGCTAAAGGCATGAATAGACAATTCTCAAAAGAAGATATACAAATGGCCAATAAACATATGAAAAAATGCTCAACATCACTAATGACCAGGGAAATGCAAATCAAAACCACAACGTGATACCACCTTACTCCTGCAAGAATGGCCATAAGCAAAAAATAAAAAAAAAAAATAGACGTTGGCATGGATGTGGTGAAAATGGAACACTTTTACACTGCTGGTGGGAATGAACACTAGTACAACTACTATGGAAAACAGTGTGGAGATTCCTTAAAGCACTAAAAGTAGATCTACCATTTGATCCAGCAATCCCACTACTGGGTATCTACCCAGAGGAAGATAAATCATTAAACAAAAGTAATACTTCCACACGCATGTTTATAGCAGCACAATTTGCAATTGCAAAAATATGGAGCCAGCCCAAATGCCTATCAATCAACGAGTGGATAAAGAAATTTTGGTGGCTGGGTGTGGTGGCTCACACCTGTAATCCCAGCACTTTGGGAGGCCGAGGCAGGCAGATCACCTGAGGTCAGGAGTTTGAAACCAGCCTGGCCAACATGGTGAAACCCCATCTCTACTAGAATTACAAAATTAGCCAGGCGTGGTGGCATGCACCTGTAGTCCCAGTTACTCAGGAGGCTGAGGCAGGAGAATTGCTTGAACCCAGGAGGCAGAGGTTGCAGTGAGCCAAGATCGCACCACTGCACTCCAGCCTGGATGACAAGAGTGAGACTCCATCTTAAAAAGAAAAAAAAAAGAAAGAAATTATGGTATATAGGCCTGGTGCAGTGGCTCACGCCTATAATCCCAGCACTTTGGGAGGCTGAAGTGGGTGGATCACTTGAGGTCAAGAGTTTGAGAACAGCCTGGCCAACATGGTGAAACCCCGTCTCTACTAATAATACAAAAATTAGCTGGGCATGGTGACGCATGCCTGTAATCCCAGCTATTCGGGAGGCTGAAGCACGAGAATCACTTGAACCCGGGAGGTGGAGGTTGCAGTGAGCTGAGATCATGCCATTGCACTCCAGCCTGGGCCACAAGAGTGAAACTCTATCTCAAAAAAAAAAAGAAAGAAATTATGATATATATATTACCCATGGAATACTACTCAGCCATAAAAAGGAACAAAATAATGGCATTCGCAACAACCTGGATGGAATTAGAGACCATTATTCTAAATTGAAGTAACTCAGGAATGGAAAATCAAACATCGTATGTTCTCATTCATAAGTGGGAGCTAAGCTCTGAGGATGCAAAGGCATAAGAATGATACAACGGACTTTCGGGACTTGGGGAAAGAGTGGGAGGGGGCGAGACTACACATTGGGTACAGTGTACACTGTTCATGTAATAGGTGCACCAAAATCTCAGAAATCACCACTAAAGAACTTGTTCATGTAACCAAACACCACCTGTTCCCCCAAAAACCTATTGAAATAATAAATAAATAAAGAAATAAATTTTTGAAAAATCCAATTGAAGACAAACTGCAAACAGAAAAATTTTAGAATACTGAGATAACTAAATATTCCATAATGAGCTCAAGGATACATTACTATTAAGTGACAGTTGCTTTTGTAAGGCTTTGAAGCCAAAGAGCTTTCATTCTCTAGTCATCTGACCCAGGAAAAAATAACTCTCTGGTAATTATCATTTGGTTCACATATGTACCTTTCTTTCTTTCTTTTTTTTTTTTTTGAGACAGAGTCTCCCTCTGTTGCCCAGGCTGGAGTGCAGTAGCATGATCTCAGCTCACTGCAGCCTTTGCCTCGAGGGATCAAGTGATTCTCTTGCCTTAGCCTCCCAAATAGCTGGGATTCCAGATGCGTGCCACCATGCCCAGCTAATTTTTTTGTATTTTTAGTAGAGACAGGGTTTCACTATGTTGGCCAGGCTGGTCTCAAACTCCTGGCCTCCAGTGATCTGCTTGCCTTGGCCTCCCAACGTGCTGGGATTACAGGCGTGAGCCACCGTGCCTGGTCCATATGTGCCTTTCTTGTTATTTTTCTAAAACCTCTCTGAGACAAGAAAATAAATTTCCCTTTATTCTTTAAATTTGTTTTATGTTTGTTTGCTCTTGATTTTGTTTAGTAAATTTTGTCAGACAGCAAGGCAATCTTTATGCAAGATTTAAAAATCAAACCACTCTACAATTTGGCTGCAGCCTATTTTTCAGAATTTATCTTCTAATACTTCCCTTCATCAACCTTCTACCCATTATAGACTGGTCTATCAACTCTGCTCAAAGCATATGATGCTCATTTTCTCCTTATACTCTTTGCTTATGTCATTCTAACTGAAATCTTTCCTCTGGCCAGTTTCCAGTTCTTCTTTTTAAATTTTCTACTTAAATTCTGTCTCCTCCATGAAGCCAGCTCTAATCAATTTAACAGCACATATGGTTTATTCTGCTTATTTGAAACATAATTTCATATAATTTTTATAAGATAGCTTTGTACTGCCAGGCTTAAAGCCCAGAAACTGTATTTCCCAGAATCTTCTGCCAGTGGGATTCTGGTAAATGTCTTCCAGTGAGAGGATTTCTCTTGAGATTTGAAAGGCAGAGGAAAAGACAATGCTACTTTGGGTATTATAGCTGGCACATGGACCTGACTGAAAGCAAACAGATCAAAAGTCAATTTTTACATTTTTGAGTGAACTTACTGTCAACTTCCTTCAAGCCACAACAAACCAACTAAGCAACTACCACTACTATCATTAAAAGTAAATAAATAAATAAATCATCCCAGACTAAACAAGCCTTTGTCGTTCAAGGCTTAAAACAATCCTTGAGGCCAGGCACGGTGGCTCACGCCTGTAATCCCAGAATTTTGGGAGGCCGAGGCGGGCGGATCAACGGGTCAGGAGATCGAGACCATCCTGGCTATCACAGTGAAACCCCGTCTCTACTAAAAATACTAAAAAAAAAAAAAAAATTAGCCGGGTGTGTTGGCGGGTACCTGCAGTCCCAGCTACTCAGGAGGCTGAGGCAGGAGAATGCTGTGAACCCGGGAGGCGGAGCTTGCAGTGAGCCGAGATTGTGCCACTGCGCTCCAGCCTGGGCGACAGAGCGAGACTCCGTCTCCAAAAAAAAAAAAAAAAAAAAATTCCTCGAGTCACCAGACTTTCATGAACAGTAGGAAAGCTGCATAGTTGAAGGAACACACTCCCTATACCCACTCCCAGGGGAATAATGACAAGGAGGGGAATCGCAGGGGTGAAGGCAGCAGCCAGAAAGAAAACAGGCAATGGAATTCCTCACAGAAAACAGAATTTAGGTCTAATCAGGGAGCCTCCACTACTTTCTGTGCGTGTGTGTGTTTGTGTACTGAAGTGTGAATGGCATTGTTGAATGTGGTTATACTGTCCCATTTGTATACTGCTGAAGTGTGAATGGGATTGTTGAGTGTGGTTATGCTGTCTGATTTGTATATGGCAATATGTGTGTGGAGGGAGGGACAGGCAATTCGTCTTTTTATTTCATAGATCCTCAGACCAAGAAGAGCCATGTCTAGACCAGATGGAGTACTCATGTATTATCAGGAAATTCTGGTCTTGTAAGCTGGTTGTAATGACTGCTTGGTTCTTTGGATTTTCATCTTTGTAGAGGGAGTAAATGTGTTTCTTGCATGATAAAAGAAATGGAAAAATATAGGTGGCAAACAGGAGGGTGAGTTGTGGCAATAATACTATGTATTCATCAACTCCTATTTCATTCCCTCTTCCTGTGCTCACTGGAAGATGACATTTCCCAGACTTCCAAGAATGTTACTGAGTTCTGGAATGTAAGTAGAAGGGATAAGTATCACTTCTGTGCTGTGGCGGTTATGGACCTGTGAACTTTGCACACGCCTTCTATCTTCTTTTTCAGTGTCCATTTCAGAGGGCATGTTTTCAGATGAAACCAGTAGAAGATGGAAGCAGCCTGTGACTAGAATCACTGCTTAGGGTCTTGCTGCCTAGGAATCCCACTCTACCTGCAACAGACTGTGAAAGAACCGAGAAATACACTGATTTTGAACATAGCCCATACTATAATGGGGATGTTTGTTACAGCAGTTAGCATTAAAAACCTTGGCTAGGCATTGGTCATAATTGTAGAACACAGCAAATGAAGGGAAACTGGAACATAGAGGCCAGTGAGAACTTTAGGGTTAATGAAAAATGAGGGCAACCAGGATAATTTGGTTCTTGGCCAAATAGGAAGGTGAAACCAAAGGTAGACTGGAGGTCAGAAAATCAGTCCAGCACATGTGATGTTTTCATTTAGTTGCCTGTATGTCTGTCTGGTCTCCAGCTCAGCCTGGCTCCTTGAGGTAAGAGGCAGTGGCTGTTCACCTTTGCATCCCAGCACCTGGCATACAATAGATGGGATGAAATGTTCAAACTGAGCCTAAGCTTCAGGGTGCTTATCAAAGCAGGGAAGATACACAAGAGGAGATGATTCAGGTCCAGGGCAGGTCAGGTATCTAAACCCAGTCTCTTAGGAAGCTGGATCCTCCGAACCAGGGAGAACAAGCTGGATATGCACTGGATTTCCCAGCAGTACTGATCTAGAGACTCTCATAGAGTCCCTTTTATTCCTTGGCCTAGGGTTACAACTGCTTATAGCATCTGGAAAGACTCAACACCTCAAAAGAGACTTTCAGTAGATACAGCAAATACACTCATGGAATTGATAATTAAGCTTCAATATCACAACACATAAGTACCATATTTAAAATATATGTCTATGGAGGAAAAGCTGACAGAAAAAAACAAAGATCTCTATATGGACAATAGATGCAGAAAAGAAAGGAAATAACAATCAGAGATCAATGAAATAGGAAACAAACATACAGTAGAGAATCAACAAAAATAAAAGCTGGTTCTCTGAAAGTATAATTAAAATAGACAAATTTCTAGCATGCCCAATCAGGAGCAAAAAAGAGAAGGTCTCAAAAGAGAATACTACAAATGAAAAGAAGTTTGTAACTACAGCTAGAATATTTTAAAAATAAGAGTTAACATTAAAATATGCTGATAAATTTAATTGCTTAAAATAGACAATTTCCTAGAACACTTATCAAAACAAATTCAGAACAGAAACGTGAATAGACCTATATCCATAAAAGAAATTGATTATTAAAAGCCATTTACCAAAAACAAATAAAAAACAAAAACATCAAAAACAAATAAGCCAATAAACACTACCAGACCCAGAAAGTTTTATCAGTACGTTCTACCAAATATTAAAGCAATTGATAGTCCCAATCTTAAATTGTTTCAGAGATTAGAAAAAAGGGACTTGGGCCAGGCACGGCAGCTCATGCCTGTAATCTCAGCACATTGAGAGGCTGAGGCAGGTGGATCGCTTGAGCTTAGGAGTTTTGAGACCAGCCTGGACAACATGGCAAAACCACGTCTCTACAAAAAAAACAAAAATTAACCAGGTGTGGTGGCACATGCCTATAGTTCCAGCTACTCAGGAGGCTGAATTGGGAGGCACGAACATGGGAGATTGAGGCTGCAGTGAGCTGTGATCATGCCACTGCCCTCCAGCCTGGGTGAGACAGAGAGAACCTGCCTCAAGAAAAAGGAAAAAGAGTAAGAAAAAAAGAAGAGGGACTCTCTCCAATTCACTTTATTAGGCTGTACAACATTTATACTAAAAGCATGTAGAACAAAACACACTTAGAAACATGGATACAACCATACTAAACAAAAAATCAGCTACTCAAAACCCATAAGATATTTAAAAATATGTATCCAGGCCAGGTTGAGAACTGGTTTATTCCAGTGATACAATCTTGGTTGAAGGTTAGAAGAATCTATCAATAAAACTCCTCACAATAAAAGAGTAAAAGAGAAAAGCCATACAATTATCTTAAGAGATGCAGAAGAAAACATTGCTAAAATTTAACTCATTTAAGACAAAAACTCTTAGCAAACTACAGATATGAGAGAGCCTCCTTAAGGTCATAAAGCATAACTACCAAACACAGCAAATGTCATAAACCCAGTAATAAGCAGATATATAAAGGAAAACAGATATAAAAACATACTGGCTGGGCACAGTGGCTTAGCCTGTAATCCCAGCACTTTGGGAGGCCGAGGTGGGAGGAGTGCTTAAAGCCAGGAGTTTGAGACCCACCTGGACAATGATGTGAGACCCTGTCTCTACAAAAAATAAAACAATTAGCTGGGCATGGTGGCCACTTGTAGTCTAAGCTATTCGGGAGTCTGAGGCAGGCAGATCATTTAAACTCAGGAGGCTGAGGTTTCAGTGAGCTAAGATTGAGCTGCTGCACTCCAGCCTGGGCCAGACAGAGCAAGATCCTGTCTTTTTTTTTTTTTTTTTTTTTTTTGAGACGGAGTCTGGCTCTGTCACCCAGGCTGGAGTGCAGTGGCGAGATCTCGGCTCACTGCAAGCTCCACCTCCCGGGTTCACACCATTCTACTGCCTCAGCCTCCCGAGTAGCTGGGACTACAGGCGCCCGCCACCACGCCTGGCTAATTTTTTGTATTTTTAGTAGAGATGGGGTTTCACCATGTTAGCCAGGATGGTCTCGATCTCCTGACCTCGTGACCTGCCCGCCTCGGCCTCCCAAAGTGCTGGGATTACAGGCGTGAGCCACTGCACCTGGCCCTGTCTTCTAAAAGAAAGAAACAACAACAACAAAAATACTGACGCCAACTACTTTCATACAAAATAAAAGTAGCAGTTGAATAATTTATTTGTTCACTTTCAAGTCTTTATTAAGGGTCCACTATGTGTCTGGCATTCTAAAATAATTATTTTTTTAAGTGCCAAGATCATACTTAAAAGTCAGATGTAGAAATTTTCCCTTAAAATCTGGGAGTAAGTCAAGGAGGCATGCTATCACCGCTTTTACCTAACCTTGTACTGAAAGCACTACCAACACAGTAGGACAAAACCAAAAGAAAGAAAAAAAGAAAACAAGTCAAATGATAAAAGGCTTGAAAAAGAATAAACAATGCTCATTATTTTTTGCTGATATTACATTATTTTTAGTTGATACAATATTGATTTATTTGATCATATTAAAAAAATCTTTTATACATTAAAAGGTACTATATTCAATATGAAAAGAAAACCAAAAAACTGAGAAAAGGTACTTTGAATACATACAACTGATAACAGCTAACAAACAAACTCTTACAAATCATTAAAAAAGTGATAATCCAATAGTAAAACTATCAGTGATAGAAGAAAGCAGCACACAAATTAATCATCACAGATATGATCAAAGCTTAATAAACATATGACAACATAAACATATGAAAAACTGCCCATTTGTATTAATCAGGATAGACTTGATTATGATGAGTTTACAAATTAAACCCCAAATCTCAGTAGCTTCACAAAACAGAGGTTTATTTTTTGGTCATGACACAGATCCAAAACAGGTTGACAGGGGGCTCTGCTCCACAAAGAAACGAAAAGGTCCATGCTCCACTGTGCAGCTGCCGTACAATAAGAAACAGTTCAGGCTGGGTGCAGTGGCTCACGCCTTTAATCCCAGCACTTTGGGAGGCCAAGGCGGGCGGATCACGAGGTCATGAGATTGAGACCATCTTGGCTAACACGGTGAAACCCCGTCTTACTAAAAATACAAAAAATTAGCTGGGCGTGGTGGCGGGCGCCTGTAGTCCCAGCTACTCAGGAGGTTGAGACAGGAGAATGGCGTGAACCCAGGAGGCGGAGCTTGCAGTGAGCCGAGATTGTGCCACTGCACTCCAGCCTGGGCGACAGAGCCAGACTCTGTCTCAATGAATGAATGAATGAATGAATAAATAAATAAATAAATAAATAAATAAGCCGGGCGTGGTGGCGGGCGCCTGTAGTCCCACCTACAGCTAGCTACTCGGGAGGGTGAGGCAGGAGAATGGCGTGAACCCGGGAGGCGGAGCTGCAGTGAGCCGAGATCGCGCCACTGCACTCCAGCCAGGCTGATGGAGCGAGACTCCGTCTCAAAAAAAAAAAAAAAAAGAAACAGTTCAAGAGTTACGCACAAGCTTTTGGATTCTCTCCTGAAGTAACACTATATTGACCCAAAGTAGTTGACTGGCCCGACCTAACTGCAAAGGGGCTGGGAAACACATGGATATTCAGTGTCTCTGGCACAACTAGAAATTAGTGCAATCCAAATTAAGGCAATAGCAAGATGCATCTTATAACCATTAGGTTGAGAAAAAGCAGTAACAACAAAAACTCCTATTACCAAGGACTGGTGAGGATGTGAAAAATGGAAGCAGTCATATACAGATGTTAGCATGTAAATTGATGCAACATCCTAAGAGCATTTGAAATGTCCTGACAAGTTAAAGATGCACATGCTTACGATCTAATATTTCCATGTGCATAGAATGAGTCACATGAAAATTATTCACTTAAAAATATTTGTAATAGCAAACTATTGGAAGTGACTTAAATATTGGAGACAATCTAAGTATTGGGGAAAAATTAGAATAACAACCATATTCTTACTGAAAGTTAATATTGACAGCATATTGAACAGAAAAAAAATGAAGCCACAGAAGGCAACACACTATGTACTATTTTTATATAATGTTTTAAAACATGCAAAGACTATAGCATATATTATGTATAAGTATATATATAGATATGCAGTGTTCCTATAATAACATGCATGGAAATGATAAGTATTAATTTTATTTTTATTTTTTGATACAGAGTCTCACTCTGTCACTCAGGCTGGAGTGCAGTGGCAATCTTGGCTCACTGCAACCTCAGCCTCCCAGGTTCAAGCAATTCTTGTGCCTCAACCTCCTGAGTAGCTGAGATTACAGGCATGCGCCACCATGGCCGGCTAATTTTTGTATTTTGAGTAGAGACAGGGTTTTGCCAAGTTGGCCAGGCTGGTCTAGAACTCCTGGCCTCACGTGATCCACCCACCTCAGCCTCCTATAGTGCTGGAATTACAGGCATGAGCCACCACACATGGCCTAATTTAATTTTTCAATAGTGTTAATTTGAGAGAGGAAAGATGGTACATTAGGATACATCAGTCATATCCTTTAATTCTAAAGCTACTTATATCCTTTAATTCTACCATAGGTAATAAAATCTAAGAAAATAATACTATTCCATATTCAAAAGTTATTCTTTATTAACACTTATATAGTTGTGCTTTTTATACTAATGATAAATTAGAAAGTCTCAAATATTCAAAATGGCTAAATATGATATGACAACACATGAAATACTATGATTATTAGATGAGATAATATACATTAGTTAGTACAATGCTTGGCACTTGACTGATGTTAGTTATCATCATCACCACTATTATTTCTATTACTACTAATACTATTACTTTTACTAAAACAATAAGCATATAAACTAGGTTGATGCATGGAAACCCATAACATAAATAATGTTAACTGGAAAAAGCAGAATACTAATTATAATATATATGTTAATGAAAGAAACATAAAATGTATGCATGCCCATCAACACTGATTTTAAAATAACTTGGAAACTTGGTAAAATTCATGTCTAAAACACCAAAAGCAATGGCAACAAAAGACAAAATTGACAAATGGGATCTAATTAAACTAAAGAGCTTCTGTACAGCAAAAGAAACTACCATCAGAGTGAACAGGCAACCTACAAAATGGGAGAAAATTTTTGCAACCTACTCATCTGACAAAGGGCTAATATCCAGAATCTATAATGAACTCAAACAAATTTACAAGAAAAAAACAAACAACCCCATCAAAAAGTGGGCAAAGGACATGAACAGACACTTCTCAAAAGAAGACATTTATGCAGCCAAAAAACACATGAAAAAATGCTCATCATCACTGGCCATCAGAGAAATGCAAATCAAAACCACAATGAGATACCATCTCACACCAGTTAGAATGGCAATCATTAAAAAGTCAGGAAACAACAGGTGCTGGAGAGGATGTGGAGAAATAGGAACACTTTTACACTGTTGGTGGGACTGTAAACTAGTTCAACCATTGTGGAAGTCAGTGTGGCGATTCCTCAGGGATCTAGAACTAGAAATACCATTTGACCCAGCCATCGCATTACTGGGTATATACCCAAAGGACTATAAATCATGCTGCTATAAAGACACATGCACACGTATGTTTATTGTGGCACTATTCACAATAGCAAAGACTTGGAACCAACCCAAATGTCCAACAATGATAGACTGGATTAAGAAAATGTGGCACATATACACCATGGAATACTATGCAGCCATAAAAAATGATTAGTTCATGTCCTTTGTAGGGACATGGATGAAATTGGAAATCATCATTCTCAGTAAACTATAGCAAGAACAAAAAACCAAACACCGCATATTCTCACTCATAGGTGGGAATTGAACAATGAGATCACATGGACACAGGAAGGGGAACATCACACTCTGGGGACTGTTGTGGGGTTGGGGGAGGGGGGAGGGATACCATTGGGAGATACACCTAATGCTAGATGACGAGTTAGTGGGTGCAGCACACCAGCGTGGCACACGTATACATATGTAACTAACCTGCACAATGTGCACATGTACCCTAAAACTTAAAGTATAATAATAAAAGAAAAAAAAATTCAATGTTTATTAAGTTATTTTAGGAACTGTATATTAAAAAAATTATATGGTCACTAACTTTTCTCAAAACCTTCCATTATTTTAAGTATCTGGTTTACTTTGCACAGGCATTTTTAAAAACATTAAAGAAAAAATAACTGTGACATGTCATCTCATTATTGAATAAAATCTCTTCTTAAATGATTCATAGTTCCTGAAAACATTAAGCTTTGAAAAGAAAAACAAGTTAACAATTGCTTCTACTCCATAACTGTTTGCTTGACAACTATACTTCTTTATCCCGCATCTTATAGTTAATATGACTCTGTTTAATAAAAGAAACATCTATGAAAGCATTAGGAGAATCCAATAACCGAAACTATCGTGTGCTTATAATTTTAATTTTTATCAGTACATTTTGTATCCCCTGATAAAAGTCAAAACGGAAATAGATCATTGTTTATTTTATACCTTCATACTAGCACTGAATAAATCTGATATTTATCCTCATACAATGACCTACCTTGAGTTTTTTGGTAAGGTTAAGAATGCAGCAACTATCATGTGAAGTCTAGAGCATACCCCAAGGGAAAAGAGAAGGAAGATCGTTTTCTTCCCTCAGTTCATTGGATCCTCTTCAGGGTTTATATATTGAGCAAAGTAAATGGGTTGTGAGGCTTAGAGCCATAGCACCTGTGTCTGGTAGAAGAAAATTTTGTCTTCTCTCCTAACAACTATACTACGTTACAAGGACCTATGTTGTTCTACATTCTATACCTCTTTATCTAAAAATCTGTTTGATGTTCTCTTCTGTGTCATCCACTCCAATTATTTGTTGGCATATACAGTCTATGCAGTATTGGTCATGGAATAGCTACACGAGTAAGTCCTTGAGCTAGCAGGGCTGGGAATCATTACTCATCCAGAAGTGCCATGGCACTGTGTAATAGATGTATCATCTTTTTCATCCTGGACTCAAATTAAGATGTGGCTTTCCTACCTAAGGAAAAGAAATATAACACTTTTCATTGCTCAAGAGCAGAGACACCAGCTGGCAGAGGGAACACACGTACAGACAGATGGCTTAGATGACAGAGACATCTCCAGAGCTAATGGACATAAGCCATTTCTGGATTACCATTTTACATCTCTAGCCCATATAGGGATCAGAAATACTTAACTGTCCAAGGCAAATACGGCTGTAACTAAAGATGTCTGAGAAAGACAGCAATGGAGGCCAAATGGAGTACCATTAATACCAAGGATAGGCATCACCCTCACAGCTCACTAAGTCACCCTAGAAAGGACACACTAACCATATTTTGAAGGTGTTCTCAGTTTTAGCTTTCAAAGATCAACTGGAGAAAAGAAGATTTTAAGATAAAATCTTGGTGACAGAGTTAGTACCTTAATAATCTCTTATAGTTCACAAGCTCTGCCTCATTTCTGACATTTGACATTACAAAGATAATCACCCCAAACTAAGTGGAGTTTAGTTTGCTCATGTAAACTTACACTCATCCATGTAAGGCCACAAAGAAGCTAGTCACAAACCAAGACTTAACCAATGAAGTAATTTCTCTATGGAATTAGTTGGTCATAAACCATCCAGCCAGATAGATGAAAGGGAGGATAATAAGTATGCATTAATTATGATTCTTTACATAAATAACATGTTAGAAATGGGACTAATTTCATGAGAGTAATAGAATCACTTCAAAACATTTTTATGAGCAGTTTCAAGAGCATATTTCGTTTAGGAAATGATTCATTTAAGGTCTCATCACCTCAAAGTAGTCGATACATATACAGTTAATAAGCAAATGTTACCTAAAAATGTTCCTCAAATCCCATGTTTTTTTCCCAAAATGCATTTGTTTAGTGAGTATATTTTTGACATTGAATGTTTACTAATTGTACAGTAAACCAAATTTCTACTATACATTTGAATTTATCATCTGTAAGTTTGGACATGCAAATATTTCAGTAAAAAAGACACAAAAAATTGTTTGAGTCAAGAAGGGAAACCATAATAGATAGTTGAAATAATTTTCCAGAAAAAAATCAAAGCATAAGTTTTATAAGGAAAGATTTTTTATTTCTTTAAAAATAAACCATATACTCTTGCCATAAATTAAACAATAAATAATAGCTCAATGCTGCTCTTGAATTGTCTTTGAAAATAAAACTATAATTTTTTTTAGTAACTTCCTATTAAAATCAGAAAACAGAGTTTTAAAAAATTTTGCCTGCAGTGAATTCAAAAAAGTTGGGAGAATATATTGTCTTAGAACTGGAAAAAAAGTAGCTTTATAAATGTCATGGTGGCTAATAATAAAAAAAATAAAAAAATAGATGTTGGCATGGATGTGGTAAAAAGGGAACACTTCTACACCACTGGTGGGAACGTAAACTAGTACAACCACTATGGAAAACAGTGTGGTGATTCCTTAAAGAAGTAAAAGCAGAACTACCATTTGATCCAGTAATCCCACTACTAGGTATCTACCCAAAGGAAAATAAGTCATTATACAAAAAAGATACTTTCACAGGCATGTTTGTAGTGGCACAATTCACAATTGCAAAAATATGGAACCAGCCCAAAGCCCATCAATCAATGAGTGAGTAAAGAAACTGTGGTGTGTGTGTGTGTCTGTGTGTATGTGTGTGTATGTATATATACACACACACATACATATATATATATACATACATACGTATATATATGATGAAATACTATTCAGCCATAAAAAAGAATGGATTAATGGCATTTGCAGCAACGTGGATGAGACTGGAGACTATTATTCTAAGTGAAGTAACTCAGTAATGGAAAACCAAACATTATTCTCACTCATAAGTGGGAGCTAAGCTCTGAGGATGCAAAGGGATAAGAATGATACAATGGACTTTGGGGGAAAGGGTGGGAAGGAGTTGAGGGATAAAAAGCTACAAATTGGGTGCAGTGTATACTGCTTGGGTGATAAGTGAACCAAAATCTCACAAATCACCACTAAAGAACTTACTCATGTAGCCCAATACCACCTGTTCCCTAAAAACTTATGGAAAGAAAATAAGTAAGTAAGTAAATAAATAAATAAATGTCATGGTGGCTAGTTAGGAGTATTATATATACTTAGTAAGTAGGCATTCTATTCAAATGAAAAGATTAAAGATTAGAAAAGTGACAGGCTATAAAACTAATACAATTACTTTTCTGGGTAGACAAACAAATGATCAAATTCTCATGAAACATTCTGGATTAAAGAAGTTTTTCTATACTGAAAACTCAAAAAGCTAGAGTGTCTCTTCTCCAAATGACTGCAACACCTCTCCAGCAAAGGCACAGAACTGGGTGGAGGCTGAGATGGCTGAATTGACAGAATTAGGCTTCAGAAGATGGGTAATAAAGAACTTCACTGAGCTAAAGGAGCATGTTGTAACCCACTGCAAAGAAGCTAAGAATCATAATAAAACAATATAGGAGCTGATAGCCAGAACAGCCAGTTTAGAGAGGAACATAACTGACCTGATGGAAGTGAATAACACAATATAAGAAATTCACAATGCAATCACAAGTATCAATGCAGAATAGACCAAGTGGAGGAAAGAATATCAGAGCTTGAAGACTCCCTTTCTGAAATAAGACAGGCAGACAAGAATACAGAAAAAAGAATGAAAATGAATAAACAAAACCTCTGAGATGCATGGGATTATGTAAAGATGTCAAACCTAAAACTGACTAGGGTACCTGAAAGAGATGAGGAAAATGGAACCAAGTTGGAAAACATACTTCATATGCTGAAAAACATATATCATCCAGGAGAACTTCCCCAACTTAACAAGACAGCCCAACATTCAAATTCGGGAAATCCAGAGAACCTCAGTAAGATACTCCATGAGAAGATCAATGCCAAGACACATAATCATCAGATCCTCCAAGGGCAAAATGAAAGAAAAAATGTTAAGGGCAGCCAAGGAGAAAGGCCAGGTCACCTACAAAGGGAAGCCTATCAGACTAACCATGGACCTCTCAGTGGAAACTCTACAAGCCAGAAGAGATTAGGTACCAATATTCAACATTCTTAAAAAAAAGAATTTCCAATCCAGAATTTCATATCTGACCAAATTAAGCTTCATAAGGAAAGGAGAAATAAGATCCTTTGCAGACAAGCAAATTCCAAGGGAATTTGTCACCACCAGGCCTGCCTTGCAAGAGGTCCTGAAGGAAGCACTAAACATGGAAAAGAAAAACCGTTACCAGCCAATACAAAACCACACTGAAGTACACAGGTTAGTGATACTATAAAGCAACCACGTAAACAAGTCTGTAAAATAAGCAGCTGGCATCACAATGATAGGATCAAATTCACACATAACAATGCTAACTTTAAATGTAAATGGGCTAAATGCCCCAATTAAATGACACAGAATGGCAAGCTGGATAGAGTCAAGACCCATCAGTATGCTGTCTTCAAAAGACCTATCTCCTGTGCAAAGACACACATAGGGTCAAAATAAAGGGATGGAGGAAAATTTCCAAGCAAATGGAAAACAGAAAAAGCAGAGGTTGTAATCCTAGTTTCTGACAAAACAGGCCTTAAACCAACAACAATAAAAAAAGACAAAGAAGAGCTTTACATAATGGAAAATGGTTCAAGTCAACAAGAATAGCTAACTATCCTAAATATATATGCACCCAATACAGGAGCACCCAGATTCATAAAGCAAGTTCTTAGAGACCTATAAAGAGACTTAGACTCCCTCACAATAATAGTAGGAGCTTTAACACTCCACTGAAAATATTAGACAGATCATCGAGACAGAAAATTAACAAAGATAGTCAAGACCTGAACTCAGTTCTGGATCAAGCAGACCTGATAGATACCTACAGAACTCTCCACCCACAAACAACTGAATATATATTCTTCTCATCACCACACAGCACTTTCTTTAATATTGATCACATAATCGGAAGTAAAACACTCCTCAACAAATGCAGAAGAAATGAAATCATAACAGTCTTTCAGACCACAGTGCAATCAAATTAGAACTCAAGATTAAGAAATTCACTCAAAACCACACAACTACATGGAAATTGAACAACCTGCTCCTGAATGACACTTGGGTAAATAATGAAATTAAGGCAGAAATCATTAAGTTCTTTGAAACTATGAGAAGAAAGAAACAATGTACCAGAATCTCTGGGACTCAGCTAAAGCAGTGGTAAGAGGGAAATTTATAGCACTAAATGCCTAACATCACAACTAAAAGAACTAGAGAACCAAGAGCAAACAAACCCCAAAGCGAGCAGAAGACAAGAAATAACCAGTATCAGAGTGGAACTGAAGGAGGTAGAGACATGAAAAACCCTTCAAAAAAAATCAACAAATCTAGGAGCTGCTTTTTTGAAAAAATTAGTTAGACCACTAGCTAGACTAATAAAGAATAAAAGAAAGAAGAATCAAATAATCAGAAATAATAAGGGGGATATTACCACTGACCCCACAGAAATACAAACAACCAGAGAATACTATATAACAACAGAGAATACTATAAACACCACTATGCACATAAACTAGAAAATCTAGAAGAAATGTTTAAATTCCTGGACACATACACCCTCCCAAGACTGAAACAGGATGAAACTGAGTCTCTGAATAGACCAATAATGAGTTCTGAAATTGAGGAAGTAAGAAAATAGCCTACAACCAAAAAGAGCCCAGGACCAGAAAGATTTGCAGCTGAATTCTACCAGAGGTACAAAGAAGAGGTGGTACCATTTCTATTGAAACTATTCCAAAAAATTGAAAAGGAGGGACTCCTCCCTAACTCATTGTATGAGGCCAGCATCATCCTGATACCAAAACCTGGCAGAGATACAACAAAAAAAGAAAACTTCAGGCCAATATCCCTGATGAACATTGATGCAAAAGTTGTCAATAAAACACTGGCAAACCAAATCCAGCAACACATCAAAAAGCATATGCACCATGATCAAGTCAGCTTCATCCCTGGGATGCAAGGTTGGTTCAACATGCACAAATCAGTAAATGTGATTCATCACATAAACAGTACTAAAGAAAAAAAAAACACTTGATTATCTCAATAGATGCAGAAGGGGCCTTTGATAAAATTCAACATACTTCATGTTAAAAACTTTGAATAAACTAGGTATTGAAGGAATGTACCTCAAAATAATAAGAGCCATATATGACAAACCCACAGCCAGTATCATACTGAATGAGCAAAAGCTGGAAGCATTCCCGTTGAAAGCTGACACAAGACAAGGATGCCCTCTCTCACCACTCCCATTCAACATAATATCAGAAGTTCTGGTCAGGGCAATCTGGCAAGAGAAAGAAATAAACCGTATTCAAATAGCAAGAGAGAAAGTCAAACTATCCCTGTTTTCATATGACATGATCCTATATCCAGAAAATCCCATTATTTCACCCAAAAAGCTTCTTAAGCTGATAAGCAACTTCAGCAAATCTCAGGATACAAAAGAAATGTGCAAAAAATCATAGCATTCCTATTCACCAACAACAGAGCCAAATAATGAATGAACTCCCATTCACAATTGCTACAAAAAGAATAAAATAAAATTGCTAGAAATACAGCTAACAAGGGAAGTAAAGGACCTCTTCAAGGGGAACTACAAATCACTGCTCAAAGAAATCAGAGAGGACACAAACAAATATAACAACATTCCATGCTCATGGATAGGAAGAATCAGTATTATGAAAATACTCATACTGCTCAAAGTAGTTTATAGATTCAATGCTATTCCCATTAAACTATCATTGATGTTCTTCAGAGAATTAGAAAACAACTATTGTAAAATTCATATGGAACCAAACATACAAGACAAGCCTAAGCAAAAAGAACAAAGCTGGAGGTATCATGCTACCTGACTTCAAACTATAGTACAAGGCTACAGTAACCAAACAGCATGGTACTGGTATAAAAACAACATAGTACTGGTACAAAAACAGACACATGGACCAATGGAATAGAATAGAGAAGTTAGAAATAAGACCGAACACCTACAATTATCTCATCTGTGACAAAACTGACAAAAGCAAACTATGGGAAAATGATTCTCTAATAAATGGTGCTGAGAGAACAGGCTAGCCATATGCCAAAAATTGAAACTGGACCCCTTCCTTACACCTTATACAAAAATTAACTCAAAATGGATTAAAGATTTCTAGGATTTTTAGAGTTTTGGGTTTTACATTTGTTGTAAACACTTCACAAGAAAATCTAGGCAATACCATTCAGGACATAAGCATGGGCAAAGATTTCAGGACGAAAACACCAAAAGCAATTGCAACATAAGCAAAAATTGACAAACGGGATCTAGTTAAACTAAAGAGCTTTTGCACAGCAAAAGAAACTGTCACCATAGTGAACACACAACCTGCAGAACGGGAGAAAATGTTTGTAACTTATCCATCTGACAAAGGTCTAACATCAAGTCTACAAGGAACTTAAACACATTTATAAGAAAAAAAATCCTATTAAAAAGTGGGTAAAGGACATGAACAGGCACTTCTCAAAAGAAGACATTTATGTGGCCAACAATCAGGAAAATAAGCTCAACATCACTGATCATTAGATACATGGAAATCAAAACCACAATGAGATACCATCTCATGCCAGTCAGAATGGCTATTATTAAAAAGTCAAGAAAGAACAGATGCTGATGAGGTTGCAGAGAAAAAGAAATGCTTTTACAGTGTTGGTGGAAGTGTAAATTAGTTCAACCATTGTGGCAGAGAATATGGTGATTCTGCAAAGATCTAGAACCAGAAATACCATATGACCCAGCAATCCCATTACTGGGTATATGTCCAAAAGAATATAAATCATTCTATTATAACAATACATGCACATGTATGTTCACTGCAGTACTACTTACAATAGCAAAGACATGGAATCAACCCTAATGCCCATCAATCATAGACTGGATAAAGAAAATGTGGTACACATACACCATGGAATACTATGCAGCCATAAAGAGGAATGAGATCATGTCCTTTCTAGGACATGGATGGAGCTGGAAACCGTTATTCTCAGCAAACTAACACAGGAATAGAAAACCAAACATTGCATGTTCTCACTTATAAATGGGAGCTGAATCATGAGACCACATGGACACCGGGAGGGGAATAACACACACTGGGACCCGTCAGTGGGGTGGCTTAGGGTGAGGGAATAAGCAAGGATACCTAATGGATGCTGGGTTTAATACCTAGGTGATGGTAGGAGATCTGTGCAGCAAACCACCATGGCACACCTTTACCTATGTAACAACTCTGTACATCCTGCACCTGTACCTCTGAACCTAAAATCAAAGTTGAAGAGAAAAAAGAAATTTTTCTTTTCACTGGCAAAACAATTATCAGCATTTTGGATTTTTTCTTACTAAGGGAAACAAAATTTTACACATTAACGCCTTTATGCTATCATATCTATAATAGTTTTTATTTTTTCTTATTAAAATTTATGTAAATACTTTCCATTGATTATGTGTTCCTCATAATTATGAAACATCATACAGTGATTTTTATTTAAAAAAATTACAGCTGAACATTTTACTTTACGCCCAGAAGGGAAAATGCATCTCATGCATTTCTATTATGCTTAGAGGTACCCTAGGAAGATCTACTGCACTTGACTATTTCCTATGTCAGAGGCTAGAAAAAATTATATGTAAGTATGTATGTGTGTATATATGTATGTATGTATGAACGAGATGGAGTCTCATTCTTGTCGCAGCTCGCTGCGACCTCTGCTTCTGAGGTTCAAGCAATTCTTTCTGCCTCAGCCTCCCAGTTAGCTGGGATTACAGGAGCCCGCCACCCAATCCTGGCTAATTTTTTTTGTATTTTTAGTACAGATGGGGTTTCAACATGTTGGCCAGACTGGTCCTTTTTCTTTCTTAATAGTGAACTTTTTGGCATTTTACTTTTTATATATTTCTTTTCAAAATTTTTTATTTTACGTTTGGGGGTACATGTGAAGGTTACATAGGTAAACATGTGTCACAAGGGTTTGTTGTACATATTATCACATCCCAGGTATTAAGCCCAGTACCCGATACTTATCTTTTCTGTTTCTCTTCCTCCTCCCACCCTCCACCCTCGAGGAGGTCCCAGTGTCTGTTGTTTCCTTCTTTGTGTTCATAAGTTCTTGTCATTTAGCTCCTATTTATAAGTGAGAACATGTGGTATTTGGTTTTCTATTCCTGCGTTAGTTTACCAAGCATGATAGCCTCCAGCTCCATCCATGTTCCTGCAAAAGGCATGGTCTCATAGCCACAATTGTTATTGAGCAGAAGTAAAACCATCTACTAAAAATTATCACTATCTCTTCAATAATAGGAGTGTCTGAAGAATTTTTGGCTGAATACAACCATGGATTAAAGGTACTGTATAAAAAGTGCTTTTATACCACCAGATCCTCCCGCAACACTCCCTCATGCCTACTTCCCTGAAAAAACAAACAAATAAAAAACCAAAAGGGCTGAAGGAAATGCAATCAACAGAACATGGAAATAGGAGAGCATCAAGAAACATGCTGGCCGGGCATGGTGGCTCACGCCTGTAATCCCAGCACTTTGGGAGGCCAAGGCAGGCAGATCACCTGAGGTCAGGAGTTTGAGACCAGCCTGGCCAACATGGCAAAACCCCGTCTCTACTAAAAATACAAAAATTAGCTGGGCATGGTGGTGCGCACCTTTAGTCCGAGCTACCCCAGAGGCTGATGCAGGAGAACTGCCTGAACCCAGGAGGCAGAGGTTGCAGTGAGCTGAGATTGCGCCACTGCACTCCAGCCTGGACGATAAAGCAAGACTCTGTCTCAAAACAAACAAACAAACAAACAAAAACAACAAAAAACAAAGAACCATGCTAAAGATTTCACATGGTCGCCTACAGAGAAAACATAGTTTACCTTGGTTTTTGGAGGTGGTTTTGGCATGTCTCTTTCTAAGCCTCTTGTTAAAAGGATGGGCAGGGAGTTCTTATAATAGACCTCCTACAAAAGAAGTATAAAGGAAACATTAGAGATTAAAGAACACTTACCCTAACCAAAAATTACAAGGTAGTGAAAAACAGTTTTGAAGAGAGAGCATTTCTGGATTGAGTTGTTCACATCAGAAGCTGGTGAAATTGTAGTACGGAGTCAAAACTTTTCCTCTTACATGTCATATACAACAATAAAGTAAGATAAGATGGTGATGGAGTAGGTGAGAGATGTACAGTACATATATTCAGAGATGATCATTAAAAATCATATCTGCACTGTTATGTCATTTTATCACATACATATCCAGTATAGACAGCTTGCTCTTCTTTTGAGAAGTGAATAGTTAAATCTCCAAAATATCAACCAACAAACTTAAAGTCGCCAACATTCCCTACATTTTACAGATGTATTCTGACTCTTTACATACTTGACCTTAAACAATTTCCTTCAGATAATTTACCAAACCACTATTAAACGGTGATAGTTTTGTATTAACACCTTGTGGAAGAATATATGAGTATCTGTTTCCAGAATTATTAAACCTCCAAGTCCTTGGTTCACACCAAAAGAACATTTGCCAAAATAATGGCAGAAATTACAAGGAGGCAGCTGAGGCATAACTGTATAGATTTATTATTTATTCATACACGATGAACAGAAATGACAGTAATCTTGTTTGTTTTGTTGTTTCAATAATGCAGAGCCTCACTTCCGAATAGCCATTAACTTGGATAAGCTTTCCATAGATGATTCCATCTCCAAATTAAGATAGGAAAATAATACATAAAAGGAAAATTATAGGCAACAAGAAGGCTGAGAAAGTCAGTCAGATTTTTTTCACTTATTCCATAATCCTCCATATCCCATTTCTTCCCCAACATTCCTGCCATTCAATCATCTAAATCATACATTTTTTAAAAGTTTAGTTTATGGCTAATTCGTTACAATCTTTTAAACATAATTTTAGTCTGCATACTTCAGAATATTATTAAAATTTGCTAGACTTATATTCATTTATTTCTAAAGGGAACAATATATTATTAGGATAAAATGTCCCTAAAGAAAGTAACAACACTACTTATTATTAATAAAGATTGAATCTTATGATGTATTGGGCGTTGCTAAAGACTGCATTTATAATGCCGTTTTTACGCCCAATAGCCCTATGAGCTAGGAACTATTATCATCATCTCCCCTTTAAGGCTAACACAATGCAGGCTTACAGAAGTTAAGTAAACTTGCCCAAGGTCACACAGGACTCAAAGATTGTTCTGTAAAACATTAGGGCCTGAGCTCTTAATACCTTTATATATTACTCATCTCCGATATACCATACTTGGCATCTAAAACCACTAAGTTGTGGAGCCATAGCATTTTAAAGCCAAAAGAGTTTTGTAAAGGTCAACTAGTCGGCCTCCCTGATTTTACAGATGAGGGACTTGGATTCTAAGGTGATGTGTCCAAGATCACATAGACAGTGGCAAAGCTGAGACTCATGTCTGGACCACAAAGTAGTACACAGCACATGTTCTCAGGTTTGTGCTAGGGACAAACATTCCCAGATGCATAGGGGATTGGAAGCCTCTTCTAAGCTGGGGAGTAGCTGCAGGTACTGCCAACACTCTCAGCTGCCTGTGGCCTCACATAGCCCTTATGTAAGTACCAAAGGGTACATTTCAGAGATCCCTAAATAAGTGTGCATTCCAGTCTTACCCTTTCCCACTAGTTACAGCACCTGCTGGTGGTAAGCTGCTTTCTGGAAATAGTGAATGAACCCATTCCCGCTTCTGACTCACTGTGAGAGGGATAAACTATATCCAGCATGACATTTAGGAGAGCCAACTGCATAATACATTGCATAATTTGACTATGCTTGGATAACACAATTATGCTTTATGCTTGTACCTGTTTTTTAAAACTACTGGTATGTAAATGCTAGAATATGATGAAAAGAAACAAGGCTGACTGTTAAGGGAAATTAGTAGAAATGTCTGACTGTTGTCTATGACTGTCTGAGTGTTTACAAATGCCTATAATTCTTTCTTCCTTATGCAAAAAACAGAAGTGACAGTATTTCTTTATTCTATTTTCCAGCCCTGTCTCTGTGAATTAATGGGCACAAGGCTGACAGTCAACTTTTTCCTATAAGACTCTGAAAGCATTTTTTCTAAACTTCTATTTGCAAATGTCACCTACATGAATTATATTTACTTTTTGTTTTATGACTTTAAACTTAGACAATACAGACAAAGTAAAGTTTAGCAGTCTGAGAATGAACTGGCAGATAAGAGATCTAGCTCAAGGAAGAAGTAGTATTTATTGATGAAAAGACAAGCCAGCACCCGTTCAGAGTTGCGTTCCCAGTGCCCCATCAGAATGGTACTGAAACAGCAGCTCCCACCCTTGCAGCAAGCAGCGAGCAAGGGGGCTGCAGAGCCACAGGACACAGGTAACACCTTCCTATAAGGCCCATGGTACTTAGATTTCTGGAGAAAAGTTAAATAATTCAACTAGTAACCTAAGCAAATAACTGGTGATAACTTAATGTATTCTTTTAAAATATATATTATGCAGTTAAGTATGAAATAGTAAGATAAAACATTTTCTAAATCTTTATAAAGCCATTTATATTTGTACATATGTATCTGAGAAAGTTGAAAATTTATGTCCACAGCAAAAATATCAACACAAATGCAAATAGTAGAATTATTCATAATAGCCTAAAAGTGGTGACAATCCAAATGCCCATTAATTGATGAATGGATAAACAAGACATGGTATAGTCACATAATAGAATATTCTTCGGCTATAAAAAGGAATAAAGTACTGACACCTGCTACAACATGAATGAACCTTGAAAACATGCTAAGTGAAATAATACAGACACAAAAGGATATATATTGTGTGATTCCACTTATATGAAATGTCCAGAATAGGCAAATACTTAGTGACAGAAAGTAGATTGGTTATTGCCAGGGGTTGGGAGGAGTGGGGAATGTGGAGTGACTGCTAATGGGTCTGATGTACATGAGGTTTTTTATTTTTTTTTTTTGAGATGGAGTCTCGCTCTGTTGCCAGGCTGGAGTGCAGTGGCGTGATCTTGGCTCACTGCAACCTCCGCCTCCCAGGTTCAAGCGATTCTCCTGTCTCAGCCTCTGGAGTAGCTGGGACTACAGGTGTGCACCACCATGCCCAGCTAATTTTTGTATTTTTAGTAGAGATGAGGTTTCTCCATGTTGGCCAGGATGGTCTCTATCTCTTGACCTTGTGATCCGCCCACCCTGGCCTCCCAAAGTGCTGGGATTACAGAAGTGAGCCACCGTACCCAGCTGAGGTTTCTTTTTAGGGTGATAAAAATATTCTGGAATTAGGTAATGGTGATGATTGCACAGTTTTGTGAACACACACAAAGCCATAGATTGTATACTTTATAAGAGTGAATTTCAATGGTATGTGAATTATATCTAAATTTTTTACAAAGCCATGTAAAGAACGTTCCCACATTCTCAAGGTAAGAGACCTCGGGTTTGTGTTCAAACTCTTCCTTTAGAAGAACTTTTTAGAAAAAGTTTGGAGGGGGATGTTGTGTTTCTAAGTGTTAAATTGTATGTAGGCATGAAAATTTATTCAACAAATATCAACTGAATCTTATTACTAGTTGGAATGGGTGTTATTCCAATGCTGGGCACTGGAGAACGAAGTGTCAAACTGGACATTAATAGATCACATACGGCATATTTATACTTATTTTAAACATTTGATCTACTTACATGAGACTTTTGACTGAACCAATTGCTTACTTTAATGACCTTTGCACAACACCTACTTGCTTAAACCAGCTGTGTCATGGTATCATGAGAACACCAGTTAAAAATACAATAAGGAAGGAAAAAAATACCTTATCATGGTTTCTTTTGCCTTACTATTCAACTACTAATGACATTTAAAAATAGGAAAGCACTCACTGTCCCCTCAGCCTTGCACACTACTTCCACAGCTCTTTTAAGGTTTGGTCCCTTGTTTCATTCAGGTCTTTGCTCAATTTCACTGGAGCAGGTTATCTTCCCAGGATGCCACCTGGGAAGGGATATTAATCACTACCTCCCTCCTCTTCCACTTGTTTCTCTCTATCCCCTACCCTATTTTATGTTTCCCCATAGCCCTTAGAAATATCCAACCTTAAACTTACTGGTTTTAATTCTTTTTTTTTTTTTTGAGATGGAGTCTCGCTCTGTCACCAGGTTGGAGTGCAGTGGTGCCATCTCAGCTCACTGCAACTTCTGCCTCCTGGGTTCAAGCGATTCTCCTGCCTCAGCCTCCTGAGTAGCTGGGACTACAGGCACGCGTCACCATGCCCAGCTAATTTCTGTATTTTTAGTAGAGACGGGGTTTCACCACGTTGGCCAGGATGGTCTCAATCTCTTGACCTCGTGATCTGCCCGCCTCAGCCTCCCAAAGTGCTGGGATTACAGGCGTGAGCCACCACGCCCAGCTGCTTTTAATTCTTTATTGTCCATCTCACCCTACTCTGTGAGAGGACTTGGTCAGTCTTCTTCATAAATACATTATATCCACAGAGCCTACAACTAGGTTTGGCACATAGTAGGAGCTCAATTGTTGAGTGACTGAGTAAACTGAATGAATAAAATCCCCTTCCAAGCCCCTTGTGCATTCCTCCTGCTTTTAGTCCCTTCTTAATTCCCTTCTTAAATTCCCTTTATGATCCTTCGTTCTCTTGCTAATACCCTTAATTTCTTTCCTCCAGTCTCCAATCATTGCATTCACCTCACAAAAGTACAATGTTGGATGAATCCAGCTATATGCTTTCTCTGTGCTGAGAACGGAGCAGCTCAAAGTGGCTGGAAAAAGTTACAGAATTGGTTGATTGGTTTCACATTAAATTTATGACCAAAAACTTTGGATGGGCCCTCCCTCATGTACAGCAATTCTGCTATACTTCTTGCGTAACTTGATTTTCCACTTTCCAAGATGATATTTCTTGTCTTTCCCTCTCTTCTCAAACCCCTTTCTTTCCATTCTTGCTTAATACCTCTTTGGAAAAACAGAAACATCGGAGCAGAAGCTAGTCATTGCCACACCATCAAATCTACAAACCTAGCTGAAATCATTCAATCCTCTCTGCCTTCCCTGTTGTTGCAATGAGAGATAAGACTGGTTGTATCAAAGAGCAATTCCCTCCATATGCACAGTGGATCTCATCTCCTTTCATCTCCCCAAAGGCTGCTCCTTCAACGGTCTCCTGTCACTCCCTTCCCCACTGTGACCATTCCCATCAATCACAAGCATGCTCTGCAGTCATATCTTCTCATTTTTGTTTGTTTATTTTTAAAAGATACTTCCTTAATCCTACATCTCCCATTAGCTATGGTCCTACTTGCTTCCCTTCATAGCAAATTCCTTTAAAACAGCCATCTTCACTCACTTTCTCTACTTCCTCACCTCCAATTCATTCTTCAATGCCCTAAGATGTGGTCTTTGTCTCACTATTTCACAGAATCTGCCAAAACAGTCACAGCTCAGCCTCCGTCTTACTCTTGTTCTTAGTAACATTTAAAGAAGGTAACTATTCTTGAATTACTGTCTTCTCTTAGCTTCCATGACATCACTGGTAGGTGGCTTTTGATGGTTAAATTTAGGTGTCAACTTGACTAAATGAAGAGATGTCCAAAGAGTTGGCAAAACATTATTTCTGGGTATGTCTGTGAGGGTGTTCTGGAAGAGGCTGGTATTTGAATCAATGGGCTGAGTAAGGAAGATCCACTCTCACCAAATGTTGCAGGCACCATCCAATTGGCTGAGGACATATAGAGAACAAAAAGGCAGAGGAAAGGTGAATTTGATGTCTCTCCTAGAGCTGGGGCACCCATCTTCCCCTGCTCTTGGACATTAAAACTCCAGGTTCTGCAGCCTTTGGACTTTGGACTTGCACCATCAGCTTCCCAGCCACTCAAGACTTCGGATTTAGACTGAGCCATGCTACCAGCTTCCCTGATTCACCAGAGCTTGCAAACAGCATATTATAGAGCTCTTCAGCCTCCAAAATCATGTGAGCCAAACCCCATAATAAATCACCTCTCTCTTTACACACATACATACACACACACACACACACACACACACACACACACACCTCCTATTGGTTTTCTCTGGAAAACCTTGAACATATACAGGAGGAAAACATTTTCCTACTCACCCAGACCAACTCCATACAGTTGGCTGCTGCTCCTCCTCTATACAACAAAGTTACAGTTACATATCTATTGGTTATTGGTTTATTTTCTGAATCCTCTACTAAAGAGAAGTCTAAGCCTGGGCAACCTAGTGAGACTCTGTCTCTACAAAAACAACAAAATAAAATTAGGCAGGCATGGTGGCACATTCCTGTGGTCCTAGATACTCAGGAGGCTGAGGCAGGAGGACCTATTGAGCCCAAGAGGTCCAGCCTGCAGTGAGCTGTGATCACACCACTGCACTCCAGCCAGGGTGACAGAGCAAGACAGAAGAAAGAAGAAAGAAGAAGAAAGAAGGAAGAAGAGGAGGAGGAGGAGGAAGAAGAAGAAGAAGAAGTAGTAGAAGTAGTAGTAGAGAGAAGGAACAAGAGGAGGAGGAAGAAGAAGAAGAGGAGGAGGAGGAAGAGGAAGAGGAAGAAGAACAGGAGGAAGAGGAAGAGGAAGAAGAGGAGGAGGAGGAAGAAGAAGAGGAAGAAGTGGAGGAGGAAGAGGAAGAGGAAGAAGAACAGGAGGAAGAGGAAGAGGAAGAAGAGGAGGAGGAGGAAGAAGAAGAGGAAGAAGTGGAGGAGGAAGAGGAAGAGGAAGAAGAACAGGAGGAAGAGGAAGAGGAAGAAGAGGAGGAGGAAGAAGAAGAAGAGGAAGAAGAGGAGGAAGAAGAGAAGAGGAAGAAGAGGAGGAGGAGGAGGAAGACAAAGAAGAAGAAGTAGTAGAAGTAGTAGTAGAGGGAAGAGGGAAGAAGAGGAGGAGGAAGAAGAAGAAGAGGAGGAGGAGGAAGAGGAAGAAGAAGAGGAGGAAGAGGAAGAGGAAGAAGAGGAGGAGGAGGAAGAAGAGGAAGAAGAGGAGGAAGAGGAGGAGGAGGAAGAAGAAGAAAAAAGAAGAAGAAGGCGGCAAATAATACATGTCTCCTTTTACTACTGTGATCACAATTCCATAGAGAATTGCCTGGTATAGCAGGAACTCAATAAATGTGTGTTGAATAAATGAATGAAGGAAGTCGGAGTGACTCAAGAGTTGATACAGAGAAGCCTTCTTTTCCCAAATGATATGAAATCATTCACCTTCATGGCTTTTAAATACTACCAATATATAATGTTGCCCAAATTTGTGTCTCTGTCTCTGATGTTTCTCCTGAGCTCATATTACTTACATCTAATTGCCTAATTGGCAACTCTACACTTAGTATGTTCAAACTTGAGCTTATAAATTATCAGCAAAAAAATTCTGTCAGTCTGAGGTTGCAGTGAGCCAAGATCATGCCATTGCACTCCAGCCTGGATGACAGGGTGAGACTCCGTCTCAAAAAAAAAAGAAAAAAAAAAAACTGTCAGTCTTTGAGTCTTCCTTAAATTAGCAAATGTCACCTAGTTGCTCAGGACAATGTCTTAGGAATCTACCCTGATTCCTCCCTTTCCCATACCTCTTGCATTCAACCCGCCAAGTGCAGTCAGTACTATCTCCAAAATAAACTGAAATCGGTCTACTCTTCCCTATGTGCACAGTCACCCCAATCATAACCATCATTGTTCACCTAAATTATTTCAAACATCTTGCCTTCTACAAGCTTTGTACATGTAAATCAGACAATGTCACTTCTCTACCCTAAATCTTCCAATGATATATCATTATTCCAACAATAAAATCCAAATTCCTTACCATGACCTACACAGTCCCAATGATCTAGCTCTTGCCTATGTCTCTAATCTCATAGCATTTCCCCTCTCCTCGTTATGCCCCAGCCACCATGGCCTTCTTTTCTGTTCTTCAAATACCCCAAGTCCCTTCCTGCCTTCCAGCATTTGCCCTTCTTATTCCTTCTCCCTGGAATGATTTTCCACACTGCTCTAGCATAGCTGTGCATTCATTCTTATCTTTCAGCTCCCATGTCACTTCCTCAGAGAGGCCATCTTTAACAACCTTATCTAAAGTGGCTCCTCTAACTATGCTCTTTTCTTCTTAACAGGCTTCATCTTCAACCACAGTACTTACTTTAATTTGTTATTGATTATCTACCACTCCAAGAAGTCTTTAAGGCTCATGAGAGGTAAACATATTTGATCAGTGTATTCTAGTATTCAGTGTATAGTTAATAAGTATTTTTTGAATGAACGAATAAAACTGTCAACTTCACATTTCCCTTCCTTTTAGCATTAATTTCCAACCATTAGAGAATTTTGGTGGACTCTGTGATATTGGGAACAAGATAATAACACATTTTCCTATTTCTGATGGATGAGGATACACATAAAAGAAGCTACATTATGACAGGGAGGAACTGCATTTGGTGTGCTGGGGTCAAACTCACAACAGTTGATTTGGTCAGATTTGGTGATCTGGAGAGCAGAAGACAGAGAGCAATACTGATATGATTACAAATTGAAGTAGCAAAGGCCCATGGCTGAGGCATCTTATAGGAAAGCGCATGTAGAACAGTGCTACTTTGCACATAACCAGGGTCCAATACATATGACTGGCAGATTACAGATCACTCTTTACAACCCCATAGAAGTCTCTTCTGCAATTCATCTATATCTCAAAATGAATCTCAATTTGATTGACAGAAAAAAGTAGATTTTCTTAAAACTCGAAAGAAATATAATGTTATCTTTACATTAATGAAAGGAATAAATTGAATTTTAAAATAGCACTTTCTAGATCTTCACTATATATTTTTGGAAAAACTCTGTAATTTTCTGGCTTGGCCCAGGGAAGTAGAAATGGGAAGATGAGAAGTAGTGAAATTCTACATAGAATTTTGAACTAATTATAATTACTTTATGAACTGCAACAATAATATTCACAGGTAGAACCTTATGAATTATATACCTTATGAAACACAATTATAATTTTGATTGTGTTTAAGTCTATTAAAAATTGCCCTACAGAAAATGGCAACCAGTCATTTCCATGTAAAGAAACTTAATGAAAATGAATTGCAGCAGGGGTGGTCAAATTAAATCAAACTTCATTGTCAAGTGCTATGGTTTGAGTATTTGTCCTCTCCAAAAGTCGTGTTGAAATTTAAGCCCCAAAGTGGCAGTGTTGAGAGGCCCTTTAAGCAGTGATTGGGTTTTAAGAGCTCTGCCCTCAAGAATAGATTAATTCATTTGTGGATTAATAGATTAATGGGTTAATGAATTAATGGGTTATTATGGGAGCAGGATTAATGGCTTTTGCGTCCTCTCTTGCCATGTGACCTCTGCACATGCCAGCTCCCCTTCCCCTTTCCACCATGAGTGGAAGCAGCCTGACGCCCTTGCCAGAAGCAGATGCTGGTGCTATGCTTCTTGTACATCCTGCAGAACTGTGGGCCAAAGAAACCTCTTATCTTTATAAATTAAAAAAAAGAAGAAGAAGAGGAAGAGAGATTTGAACTAGCACACTTAGCCCCCTAACTATGTGATGCCCTGTACCACCTAGAGCAAGAAGGCCCTCACCAGATATAGCACCTTGAGCTTGGACTTCTCAGCCTTCAAAACTACAAAGAATAAATTACTTTTCTTTATAAATTATTCCATTTCAGGTATTCTGTTACAAGCAAGGGAAGATGAACAAAGACATCAAGCATCATTAAGCTCTAAAGTTTGGACTCCCAGTCTTAATATTATTATAATCCAATATAGAGTTTTCCTTCAGCTCCTATATCACCTCTTTGGAGAAGCTCCATCTAACAACTTTATCAAAAAAAGCTTTCCCTAGTTATGTTTTTCAACCTGCTTTACTTCTGTCACAGTACTTATTGAGTTGAGATTCGTTTAGGTGTCCATGTGTTGCTCTGATCTATTCCTAATATCTGTGCTTTCCTTCGATCATCTAACCCACCATGCTTTCTCATTTAACAGTCTTGACTTAGAGAGGCTCTACTTTTTATTTATTTGCACAGAGGTTTAAATAATTATCCACTACCATATGCAAGTGTGCAAGTGTCTGACTCAGGGCCTTTGTACTTGCTGTTACTTCTGCTTAGACTGCTCTTCCTCCAAAAAGTTTGTATGGCTTGCTCCACCATGTCATTTAGATCTGCACTCAAATGCTACCTAGCCTAGGGGCCTTCCTTCACTTCTCTATATAAAAAAGCTCCCCAGCTCATACACAGTACCATTAATTTCAAGAGTGTATCATAGTTTAATTTTTTTTTTCAGAATCTATCATCAGATGACATAGTAACTTCCTTAATTGTTTATTGTCTGTGCCACCCCACTAAAAGGTAAAGATGAGAACAGGTATTATTTTTAAAATTCACTGCTATTTTTAAAGCTCATAGAATACCAGCTGGCTAATAGGCATTCAATAAATGGTTGAATAACTGAATAGACTGACGAGTCAAAAACAACCTCTTCTGACTCCTCTACTTCAGTTTATCCTACACATGGATGCCAAATTAATTTTTTCTACTTTATTACTCTTAGTCTGTTTTGTGTTGCTATAAAGGAATACCTGAAGCTGGGTAATTTATAAAGAAAAAAGATTTATTTGGCTCATTCTGGAAAGTTAAGTTTGGGCATCTGCATATGGTGAGTGCCTCGTGAAGGAAGGCAAAAGGGAGCCAACCTGTGTAGAGATCATATGGCAAGGGGGAGGTGCCAGGCTCTTTTTAATAACCAGCTCTTGCAGAAACTAATACAGGGAGAACTCACTCACTTCCAAGGGAGGGCATTAATCTATTCACGAGGAATCCACCCCCATGACCCAAACACCCCCCATTAGGTCCCACCTCCAACGCTGAGGACCAAGTATCCACATGAGATTTTGTGGAGACAAACAAACCACATCCAAACCATAGCCAACTCTAATTCAAGTTACTCCTTTCCTGGAAACTTTTAATTACTGCTGCCCATCATCAAATTTAAATTCTTATTCCTGCCATCCAATACCTTTCAACCCACCCTTCTTGTCATATCTACCCTACATGAACATTATAATTGCGGTCACTTGTTGCTTGCCCTAATTACTTATGTGCTTATCCCATTTTCCATCCTTGACCTCAGATGCTTAAAGGACTTTTCAATCTTTTTTCTCTTTATGGTGCTGAAGTAGACAATTAATATTTTTCCACATCCAACACTCATTTTCCCTTCTTTGGAGGAAGATGTATTTTTAAGAAACCACTCTTCTCCTATTGGATACAGTGTTTCAATAAAGGTGTATCTCTGATGAACAGCTGGACATGTCTTCCAAGAGCTTCCAAATATCAATCAGATACCCATTCACTATAATTTTGACCAGAAATGAGAAGACTCAAAAACTGAGAATAGCTAAAGCCGACTCTCCCAGTGGCAGTCTGTTGAAGACACTGTTCAGCTCTCACACTGCCTGCTGCCCAGAACCTTACAGCTGTCTTGGTAAGTGTCCTCTGGGAAGTCTGGTTTGTAGAAATTCCTTTCCTTTCCTTTTCTTTTGTCAAATTTTACCCAGAGTTGGTTTTTGTTGTTTTCAACTAAAGAAAGTACTTTGAGTTACACAAATATTTATTATAGTGTCTTTCATATTGTGGGCACTCGAGAAAATTTTGAATTGAAATCGTGCAGCATTGATGGTAATGATAATCAAACTAATAAACAACACTGGCTATCACTTATATAGTAGTTAACTATGTGCACGGTTTTCTTCTAAGTGCTTATTACACATTTACTCATTTGATCTTCACAACAACCCTATGAAATATGTGCTTTATTATCCAAATTTCATATGTAAGGAAAGTGAGGTACAGAGAGTATGAGTAACTTGTCTAAGGTCCTACACTTAGTAAGTGGCAACACTGGAATTTGAAGCCAGGCTATCTGTCTCCAAAACCTGCTCTCACCTGCACAGAATACTGCCTCTCCTGAAGAGTCCTTCCTATTTAATGAGATCAGGAAACAATGCAAGTTAGGTAAGTCCCAAAGTAAACTAAAGCAGGGAATCGTAACAAATAATCTTTTGTGTACAGTCTTTCTTGTACAAGCCACAGTCAAAATGCATCACCTATATATTGGAGTGAAAATACATGGAGTGAAAATATGAAGCCTTTAATCATTATCAGGTCTTTCCTAAGTATTCAACTAAGCTTTGTGGCAGTGGCAACGCTTTGTGTACACCATATCATTTCCTCATCTTCTCCCTCTGGGCATCAGGGAAACCATTTTCAGCCTCTCTTCCAGTTAGATTGGGAGCCACATGACAAGCCAATTCTAGGCCTGGCCATAAAAATATTCCAAATTATTTTCATCCTCCTCTTTCTCTGATAAGGCAAACTTTGATGGTAGCTGGTCTAATATGAGGAGGGCTCCTCAACCCACTGTACTGCAAAGTGAATGAGAAATACATTTTGATTGTCTTAAGCCACCAAGGTTTTATAATCTTTTACAGAACCTTCCATTAACTACTCTGACACTATTTTCCCATAAATAGCTATATTGTTGTATTCACACTACATTTGTTTAACTAAATTATATAAGTACCATAAAAAAACAATAACTGGCATAAACAGGTTTGGAAACAAACATCCTGGTTAGCATACAGTAAACCTGGTATTGAGCAGATGTATAAGACAGTCACCTATTAGTCACAAGTATTCAGGGTTGCCATGTACAGCAGTCAGCATGTCTTAAAAAGGAATGCACAGAATTGATTCACCTGGTAAATTAGGTAGTTGGAAGTCTGTGAAGCAAACTTTTATTGAATGCACTAGAGATGTGAACAATTATTAATGCTCAGAATAGTTACTATGACTTTCTTGAAGGAAATTTAAGTTAACTTTCACTTAGATAAATGTGTTGTAATTTAATGGATGTTTTGAGTAAATATAAAGAACTAGAATAAGTGTTTTAGAAGATACAAGAATGTATGAGTTGATTCACAACTTTAAGAGAAATGCCAGAGGGCAGCCAAGATGGCCGAATAGGAACAGCTCCAGTGTACAGCTCCCAGCATGAGCGACGCAGAAGACGGGTGATTTCTGCATTTCCATCTGAGGTACCGGGTTCATCTCACTAGGGAGTGCCAGACAGTGGGCGCAGGACAGTGGGTGCAGCACACCATGCGCGAGCTGAAGCAGGGCAAGGCATTGCCTCACTCAGGAAGCGCAAAGGGTCAGGGAGTTCCCTTTCCTAGTCAAAGAAAGGGGTGACAGATGGCACCTGGAAAATCGGGTCACTCCCACCCTAATACTGCGCTTTTCCGACGGGCTTAAAAAATGGCGCACCAGGAGATTATATCGCGCACATGGCTCGGAGGGTCCTACGCCCACAGAGTCTCGCTGATTGCTAGCGCAGCAGTCTGAGATCAAACTGCAAGGCGGCAGCGAGGCTGGGGGATGGGCGCCTGCCATTGCCCAGGCTTGCTTAGGTAAACAAAGCAGCCGGAAAGCTCGAACTGGGTGGAGGCCACCACAGCTCAAGGAGGCCTGCCTGCCTCTGTAGGCTCCACCTCTGGGGGCAGGGCACAGACAAACAAAAAGACAGCAGTAACCTCTGCAGACTTAAATGTCCCTGTCTGACAGCTTTGAAGAGAGCAGTGGTTCTCCCAGCACGGAGCTGGAGATCTGAGAACGGGCAGACTGCCTCCTCAAGTGGACCCCTGACCCCTGACCCCCGAGCAGCCTAACTGGGAGGCACCCCATAGTAGGGGCAAACTGACACCTCACACGGCCGGGTACTCCTCTGAGACAAAACTTTCAGAGGAACGATCAGACAGCAGCATTCGCGGTTCACGAAAATCCGCTGTTCTGCAGCCACCGCTGCTGATACCCAGGCAAACAGGGTCTGGAGTGGACCTCTAGCAAACTCCAACAGACCTGCAGCTGAGGGTCCTGTCTGTTAGAAGGAAAACTAATAAACAGAAAGGACATCCACACCAAAAACCCATCTGTACATCGCCATCATCAAAGACCAAAAGTAGATAAAACCACAAAGATGGGGAAAAAACAGAGCAGAAAAACCGGAAACTCTAAAAAGCAGAGTGCCTCTCCTCCTCCAAAAGAACGCAGTTCCTCACCAGCAACGGAACAAAGCTGGACGGAGAACAACTTTGACGAGTTGAGAGAAGAAGGCTTCAGATGATCAAACTACTCCGAGCTACAGGAGGAAATTCAAACCAAAGGCAAAGAAGTTAAAAACTTTGAAAAAAATTTAGACGAATGTATAACTAGAATAATCAATAGAGAGAAGTGCTTAAAGGAGCTGATGGAGCTGAAAGCCAAAGCTCGAGAACTACGTGAAGAATGTAGAAGCCTCAGGAGCCGATGTGATCAACTGGAAGAAAGGGTATCAGTGATGGAAGATGAAATGAATGAAATGAAGCGAGAAGGGAAGTTTAGAGAAAAAAGAATAAAAAGAAATGAACAAAGCCCCCAAGAAATATGGGACTATGTGAAAAGACCAAATCTACGTCTGATTGGTGTACCTGAAAGTGACGGGGAGAATGGAACCAAGTTGGAAACCACTCTGCAGGATATTATCCAGGAGAACTTCCCCAATCTAGCAAGGCAGGCCAACATTCAGATTCAGGAAATACAGAGAACGCCACAAAGATACTCCTCGAGAAGAGCAACTCCAAGACACATAATTGTCAGATTCACCAAAGTTGAAATGAAGGAAAAAATGTTAAGGGCAGCCAGAGAGAAAGGTCGGGTTACCCACAAAGGGAAGCCTATCAGACTAACAGCGGATCTCTCGGCAGAAACTCTACCAGCCAGAAGAGA